>NC_000002.12:115974466-116277496 GCF_000001405.40 Homo sapiens | reverse complement strand
CATGATTTTGTATGTGGAACATCCAAAGTATTTCATGCAAAAATACAGTTAGAAATAATAAATTTTGTAAAGTGGCATCATATAAAATTAACATCCAAAAATACATTTACATACACCAGCAAAGAGCAATCTGAAAATAATTTAAAAAACTGATTTAGAATAGCATCAAAGATAATAAAATACTGAGGAATAAAATTGAGCAGGTGAGAGATTTGTGTACGGAAAACTATAAACAATGCTGAAAGAAATTAAAGAATGCAAAAAAGAATAAAAAGATATCCTATGTTTATGGATTAAGATAAATAATATTGTTAAAATGTCCATATTACCTAAAGCAATCTACAGATTCAGTGCAATCCATATCAAAATCCCAATGGCAGTCTTGGCAGAAATAGGACAAACATCCAAAAATTTATATGGAATCCTTGGGAACTTTACATAGCAGTAAGAATCTTGAGAAAGAGCAAAGCTTCAGGCCCCACACTGCCAGGTTTAAAACATATTGCAAAGTAATAGCCATCATAACAGTATGATGCTGGTATAAAGACCATCCATCAATGGAATGGGTTAGAGAGCCCAAAACTTAACCTTCACTCATATAGTCAAATGATTTTTGACAAAGGTGCTACAATGATGCAATGAGGAAAGGATAGTCTCTTCAACAAATGGTGTTAAGAAAACTTGATATACACAATGGAAAAGAATGAAGATGTACCTTTATCTTACTCTGTTTATACAAATTAAAAATAAATTAAAGGCCTAACTGTAAGACCTGGACTATAAAACTCCTAAAAGAAAACAAAGTGAAAATTAATTATGACATTAGAATGGTGATTTTTTTGGATATGATACCAAAAGCATAAACAACAAAAGCAAAAATAGACAAATGTGATTGTATCAAATTTTAAAACTTCTGCACAGCAAGATAAACAAGAGAGTTAAAAGGGCAATCATGAAACAGAAGAAAATATTTGCAAACCATATATCAGATAAAGAGTTAATATCTATTATATATAAGAAACACCCACAAATCAATAACAAAAAAACTCAAAAATTACTAGACATTTACTTAAAGAAGATAAACAGTCAACAGGCACATAAAAAGATGTGCAAAATCACTAATCATTATAAAAATGCAAATCAAAACCACCAGGAGATACTACCTCACATTATTAGGATGCCCCCTATCATAAAAAGGGAAAAAAATAAATGTGGCAAAGATATGGAGATATTGGACCCCTTGTTCACTGTTGATGTGATTGTAAAATGGTGTAGCCACAATGCAAAAAGAGTATGGAGATTCCTTAGGAGATTACCATATTAAGAGAACTACCATATTATTCAGCCATCCTATTTCTGGGTATACCTCCAAAATAATCAAATACAGAATCTCTAAGAAATATTTGCATGGCCACATTCATTGCAGTGTTATTCATAATAGCCAAGGTTTAGAAACAAACCAAATGTCCATCTAAGAATAAATAAATGAAGAAAATGTGGTATATACATTCAATGGAATATTACTTAGCCTTAAAAAAATGAAATGGTGATAAATGATACAATATAGAAGAAACCTGACCAATGACAAAATGACAAATATTGCAGGATTCTACTTATATGAGATATCTGAGGTAATTAAGCTCAAAGAAACAGAAAATAGAAGGTTGATTGCCAGGAGTGCATTAGGAGGGGGAAATGGGGAGTTGTACAATGAATATAGAATTTCAGTCATGCAAGATGTAAGAGTTCTAGAGATCTGTTTTCAACAATGAATACATAGTTGACAATACTATACTGTACACTTAACATTTTCTAAGAGAGAAAGTTTATGTTATATATATTTACCACAATAAGATAGAATGTATATGTTATGTATTTTTACCACTATAAAATAGTATGTATGTTTGAGCATACACACACATGCACGCACACACACACACATATATATGAATACATTTATGTGTGTATAATATATAATGCACTTCTATATGAATATATATGCTATATCAGGTATATGAATATATGATATATCATAGATATACATATATTGATGTATATTCATATGTATGACATATAAATATGTGACATATATGATGTAACAATATATCATGATGTATTATATATATCATATGTAATATATATGTCACATATATGAATGTATAATAACTATAATTATGAAGTTCTAGTCTGTGAACATTGGATACTTCCTCACAATTTCAATCCTGGGCTTTGGTTTCATTCCATAATGGAGGAAAATAACCTGCTCTGAAAAATTTCCTCTTACCCAAGCTCAAACCAGCTTTGCATTTTTGTCACAACTGAACATTTAATAAAATCAGAAATAGAACTATTTACTTTTCTTATTCATACTATACTTATATATGCATTCTCCTGTTTTTTGTTATTTATTTAAAACTTTTAAATGATTTTATTTTTTATTTTCTAATGAACTAACATCTCATTTAAACTTTGGTTAATTTAACTTTTTTTCTTTCCTTAGTTTTCAAAGAGTAAATTAATACTGCACTTTTCTATTTAATAATTTACAACTCTGAATTTTACAGATAGCACAACTCTATTATTTGACATGTAATTCTGAAATTGTTCATGTGTTCTAAGAAGGATATAATCAGAGTTTTGACCCAAATGATAGAGGGTAACACATCGATTATCTGTTAAATTGATAATTTAACAATTACCAATTATCAACAATGTTTGTCATGATATATAAGGTTGTATTATTTAGATTGTATTCTGCCTTTTGACCTTTGCTAAAAATTTATTTATGCCCCCATCATGCCAGCAGGCAGAAAAGGAGGACCAATAAATATTTTCAGTTGTGCATATCCCAAGAACTCCATCCATGTATTTCTGTAGAAATTTTGTCAAGAATGATTGTTTTCTCTCTCACATTTATCTATTTGCTTATTTGTTTATCTTAAGTAGTAAATTTGATGAGATGAGAATGATCCAGTAGCTAGGAAGGGTTGATGTATTGCAGAAAGGAACAAGGTCACTAGGAGGTATGAAGAAAAGTAAGAGTTCAAAAAATGGATTAACTTGGGCAGAGGCTAAGGCATTTCTCATCGTGTAAAATGAAATAGTACATTATGGTGTTGAAAACAGATATTTGTTGTTGTTGTTGTTATTGGCAGGGAGTTGATAGCATTTCTGTATAATGGCTGCTGGTTTCACAGAAAACACAACTTAATCTCTGGAATTAAAATATTTAGCTAGGGAAGGTTTCCACTGGATACATTAAATCAAAATTTCTTATGGTAGTTTTCACAAGTCTATAATTTTTACTCATTCTTTCTTTCCAGCTCTAATTAATTATTTAATGATATACATTTTCTGGTCCAGTTACAAAGCACACTTTTTAAGGTGGGGCTTATAATGTGGTTACATCTTTGTACTTTAGAATGTCCTCTTTCTTCTGCTGGAAACACTTTATCATATCTTCAAAAGGTTAACTCCTGTTCACACCTCAAGACACAACTCAGTTTCCCCCTGTTACAGAAACCCTTTTATAACATTCCCAAGCAAAATTTTATTTTGTCCTATTATTATGCTTTCATAACACACTGTATTTGACTCTACTGTGACATTTTTGGGTTTCTTTTTCTTTCTTCTTTTTTTACTCTTCTGTGTTTTCTATTAAATACAAATTCTTTGAAGTCATAGTCCTTGAAGAATTTTAATCTCTAGTGCCAAGTATGTAGTCAACATCCAATGAATATTTGTCGAATAAATAAATGAGTAGATTAATTAATCTGTACCTAAGGCTGAATTAGTATGTAGTTAACACACCTGCATAAAGGCATATATGAACAAAAAAAGCTAAGAGAATAAATCAAAGTGATTACAGAACATATATGCTCATAGACTAAAAATGTTATTTTAGAGTAATAAATATAAAAATTTAAATAGGATCAGTATGAAGTCTCATCTCATAAAATAGATAAAGTGAATGTGAGCCTAAACTTGTTCATTAAGTCTCAGCACACAATAATAGCAACCTAGTCTCTGCTTCCACCAATCCCTATCAACACCCATACATGTACACTTCAGAAGCATGAAGGAGACACTTTTTGGAACAGATAAAATTGTCAATTAGTTTGTGGAACTAATTAACCCTACAGTTTCATAGAGAAGATATACAGGTAGTTTAAATAAGGGTTGTAAATAGTAATGACTGCTCCCTGGAACTATAAGCAATATTGTAACAGTGATTGTTAACAGTAATTTATAACCACAATAATGATAATAGAGTGAATTATAAGACTAATCATAAAGATAACTACTTTAATAATTAAGTACACAGCAAAAGGAAGTTCACAAAATGAAAGTTCATAGAGTCAGTGTCTGGAAACCTGAATCTCATATGTATGAAGATATGACTGTGGGAATCTCACTATTTCCTCCAGGTCTCAATAATTGTAAAATTAACCAACTTATTCTTCCAAGATCAAATGGTCTTTGCCTTAGACTACTAATAATATAATAAATTATACAAATGACTTTCTCTAAGCAAATTACTCTGAGTAAATTTCTTACATTATGGTTAAGATCATTAGTAAACAAAACTCTTGCAGGAATGCCATCAAAATATTTATGAAAATAGAATCAGCCTACCAATTTATTATCACCAGAGCTGGCCACTCTGAAATACAGTATCTAGGATCAAATCTATAGATAAAGGATATTGGACAATTTTGTTCACTGCTGTATCTCTGCCCTATTAAGGATAACTGGCTCATATGAGGCACATTTTGTTTGATACAGGGTCTCTCTCTGTCACCCAGGCTGGGTGCAATGGCACAATCACAGCTCACTACAGCCTCGACCTCCAAGGCTCAGGAGATCCTTCCACTTAAGCCTCCCAAGTAATTGTGACTACAGGCCCACACTACCACACCCAACAGTTTTTTTTTTTTTTTTTTTTTTGGTAGAGACAGGGACCTGCTATGTTGCCCAGGCTGGCCTTGAATCCCTGGGCTCAAGTGATCCTCCTGTCTTGGCCTCCCAAAGTGCTGAGATTACACATGTGAGCCACTGTGCCTGGCCTTCATATCAAGCACTTGATATGAAGTGCAATTATGATGTGAAAGTCAGAATTAACATACGAATATTAAATTTTGTGTGAGAATGATGCTATGTTGAGGCTGAGAGCTTTATGGTAAGAAATAGTTACATAGTTACATATACAGAAAAAAGTATTCTAATCAGAGAAATTATGCACACAAATACCTTGAGGAAAGAAAGTGCTTGGAAAGTTCATGTAATTAAATAAAAACATGTATAGCTGGATTAGAGACACCAAGAACACATAGGGCTGAAGAGGTATCCTGGAGTCTTATCCTGGAGGGTCTTTTGAATCGTAATAATAATTTTGTGTTTCACTCTGAGAGTTTGGGAAATTTTCAAATCATTTTAATCAAGAAATGGCATTATGTTCAAATCAGGAAGTGCTCAAGGGTACAATTTTTGAAATTCAACAATTATATTACAAAGTTTAAAAATATGTTTAGATGCCAAATATTATAATAACTAAAACACTAATATAACTCAATGTGTAATTTTAGTTAACGTAAAATATATTGAAGACATCAAACCATAAACGCAGACTTCTGGAATGTGAATTATCTGATGACTTTAAGTCAGAGTTGAAATTTAAATTTGAAGTGTGTCCTCTAGAAGTTTATTTACTGCAAAGTCCACCAAAGTAAGTGATAACTTCTATTACAGTTTATAGTATAAATGAATACTATATCAAAAACAAAAAATCAAATATAAATTAAATAGTAGCTCTTCCACCCCTTTGTGGGTTAAGTCCTAGCAATGTAAGAGTTATTTTTCCCCATATTCCATCTACTTGTATAATTACTGCTTATTTTTGAGAGGCATTTTTGTTGACTTTTAAAAAACAAGCAAATTACCTATTTTTAAACATAATCACATCAATATTAAAGAAAATTTATTGCCATAATTCTAGCATTTAGCAAAACATTATAAGCATTTAATAAAATTTTCCTACTATAAAACACAGTCAAATTTGCTCAGAAAAAAATGTTGAACAGTGTGTCTAATTTTGGTGTAGCATTGAAGGGTCTCAAATGGCAGTCTCCACACTTTTAAATTAAATCACATCATTTCTTTACAGACCTCTTCATGAAGCAGAGCACCCAAGGTCAGAAGCTTCAACATTTAAGCTGACTGGGATTTAAATTTTGATATGATCATTGAATACCCATGTAGCCTCAAAGATATTACTTAATCTCTGAGTCTCAGTTTTTTCATCTGTAAAATAGAGTCAACAATATTTTAATCATAGGCTAGTTGTGTCTCAGTAATTGTTATATGGTTTTAATATATAATTTACCTATTATATAAAAGTGCTTAATAAATGGTCACTGTTAGAAAAGATATTTGACTTCTTAACTTTTTTAACATTTCTTGAAAAATTCAGTAAATTATAGAAAATAATACTCAAATTCTATTCATACTAATTGTGTTCTTTTCATATTTTTTCAGTTCATTTATGTACTTTTTTATGTATAATTTCCATGTGTACACACCTTGCTTTCCTACTGAAATAATGAACTTGTCAAACTAAAGATTTCTTTTACTTAACAATAAGAACAGGGAAATTGTGTTAAAAAAAAAAAAAAAGAAAAAAGCTTCCTAATATTAGGAATCACAGTTAACAGCACGCAGCATGTCTATAAATATACCATTTACAAGAAAAAAATACAAAGCATAAAGCTGTTATTAAAATATGTCTTTTTGTCTTGTTTTTCAACTTTAAACTGTAGTTGTAATTATAATTATTTTTCAGTATTATTTTAAACTAGTTGATTAAGTTTTCTAATAATTTCAAATATGTTATACAATTATCTGATTATCAAAACCAATATTTGAAGTAAAGGAGCAGGCATGGTCAACTATGTTACAAAGACAGAATGAGTCAGTTTAAATATTTATAACTGGCCTATGTTCAAATAGCTGGTAATGTGTCATAGTCATATTTCTTAATCTACAAGTCAAATGTGCTATAAAAATGCCATATAATCTTACATATCAAATTAATATACTAATAAGTTAATATAAATAAAATAGAAAATGTAAACTAGATACCAAAGCTAAAAAGGAGGTTCCATTGAAATACTTGTGGGAAGAAGTTTAAATCGCTCATATAGCAAATGACGTATTTCATCACTGATCCAAGTTAAAAGTGAGGAAGTGTCTATTACTTTTTTTCTATCTCCAAAGCATTTTGAGAAGTTTGTTTTTTTCTATTCATTTTTCTACCTCCAAAGCATTCTGTAGTCTAGTGGAAGCTCTTACTTTTTTCTCAACCAGAATGAGACAGGATTGAGGGCCATAGACCTGAGATTATTTAAAAAATAATTCATAGAGGAAGAAAGGAATACAGTAAGCATCTGATGATATGTAGCAGCAAGTGTTTTGGACAAGGAGGGATTTCAGTTGATGGGAACTGAAGAAACCAGGATAGAAGAGTGGACATTGAGATTTGACTCAAATATAGAGAGAAGATTTCCATAGAACATGAGAAGACAAATTTATATCTCAATTTAGAATGTTAATCTCATATTTACTGTATGAAAATGTTTGTTGCTTGTGGTAAATAGAATAACAGTCCCCCCAAAATGCCCACGTCTTAATCTATAGAATCTGTGAATTAATATTTAATTATTTAATAATAATATTTAATAATCATTACATGGTAAAAGGTAGGCCGAACTTAATCACATGATTAAGCAGAGAACCTTTCCAGGCCAGGTCTGAGAGGGAGGCATGACTACATGGAAGAAGGGTCAGAGAGACGCAATATTGCTAGTTTTAAAGATGGAGGAAGAGGCCACCGGCCAAAAAGTGTGAATGGCCTTTAATTGTAAGAAGGAAAGAGATTGCCAACTGGAGCCTCTAGACTGCTCTGCAGCCCATGAACATCATCATTTTAGCACAGTGAGAACTGTGTTAGTCTTCTAACTTGCAGAACTATAAGATATTAAATTTGTGTTGTTTAAGCCAATAAGATTTGTTAATTTTTATGACACCAATAGGAAACCAATACAAGCCAGTCTCTCTTCATTCGGATTGCATTGTAGTCTCTCATTATTACCATTGGAGGGTTTTGACAATGAGTGGTCCCCCTCTTGGCATTTTGAACAAAGAATTGGGCAAAACACATAGAAAAGCAATGGAAGAATGAAGCAACAAAAACACAGACTTATGAAAATGAAAGTACACTCCACAGAGTGAGAGTGGGCTCGAACAAATGGCTCAAGACGACTGGTTTCGGCCGGGCGCAGTGGCTCAAGCCTGTATTCCCAGCACTTTGGGAGGCCGAGGCGGGCGAATCACGAGGTCAGGAGATCGAGACCATCCCAGCTAACGCGGTGAAACCCCATCTCTACCAAAAATACAAAAAATTAGCCAGGCGTGGTGGCGGGGGCCTGTAGTCCCAGCTACTCAGGAGGCTGAGGCAGGAGAATGGCGTGAACCCGGGAGGCGGAGCTTGCAGTGAGCTGAGATCGCGCCACTGCACTCCAGCCTGGGCGACAGAGCGAGACCCAAAAAAAGAAAACACTGGTTTCAGAATACTTTCTGGAGGTTTTCCATTGGTTACTTGGTTACACCTTATCTAAATGAGGGAGTGGCCAACTGTTGTACCCAGGCAAGTTAAGAAAATGCCACACTTTGAGACGAATTAAGAGTCCTTTATTAAGCCGGTGGCCAAAGAGACAGCTAATGCTCAAAATTCTGTCGGCCACGAGGAAGGGACTCAATTAACTTTTATACCTAGGTTTAGGAAAGGGAGGGGGACTCAAATGTAATAATTCTACAGAAGTAAAAACATGCAAGAATCAAAAGAAGCAAAATGGTTACAGAGTGATAAACAACTTAAAAGACAAATCGTTACAAGAAGAGCAACGGTACCAGGTGCAAGCTTCTAAATCTTTCATTATAATTAGATATAGGGTCTATGCCAGACATGAACTCAAGGTTTTATGTTGTTATCTCTTGAAGAAAAATCCTGGGAACTTCATACATTGTTGGTGTTAGTACCTTATCAGTTAATTGGGCTCCTTTGAAATGCTGAGGATCTGCTTACCCAGGCCAAGTCCTTAGGAAGAGGGGTTGGGTGAGAAGCCCTCAGTGTCTTGTAAATTAAGGGGTTAATTGGAGTTTGTCCCACCTTCCTAGCTAGAGAGAGTCTCATTTATATGAGAAGCAAGGCCAGGTGATGAAAGACACAAGCAGGACAAAATTCAAAGTAACGAGTTAAAGTAAAAACAAGGTTAGGCATTTCTCAACAACCAGTCTGGTTGCAGAAGGCTAACCAATCAGGGGCTGAAGTGAAGTTACAAATTTACAGGTGAAGACTTGGCCCATGATCAGTCTGATTGGTTGTGGGAGGGGACCAATCAGAGATACTTTTCATTTTTCATCTGCAACGCAGTGCAAAGGGAGTTACTTCTGATCCTTTTGTTACTTGGTTGTGGAGAGGTGGGGATTTCCTTTTGATTCAGTTCCAGAAAGTCAGCATATGGGCCTTAGGTTCCCTTCCTCCAGACCCTATTCTCCTACCTCATTATCACCCATAGCAGTGGTTCTTAACCACTTTCAGGTTACTCTCCCCTTGGATAATGTGAAAAAAGGTCCGGACTCAAAATGGTATGTATCCACTACTTTAAGGAGAATACAGATGCCAGTACAAGAATCCTGTCCTATCATGAAAGACAGTCTTGACAAGCAGTGTTGGAAGATACTCAAATGAAGGTCAGAGAAGAGAGATATAATGCCAATTAAAAGAATATACAAAATAAAAATTGACAAAATGTTCATCAATTAGGACAGGGGCAAATTGTCAAAAGGACCACATGAATAAATTGTGTAAGCCTTAAAAAGAGAAACACAAGTTTTCTGAAAAGGTAAGGTACTTTCAGCAATTGAATCTACTCATCAAATGAAGACATCTTTATAATGAATTTTAAAAGCAAATTACTATAGACCATTAATGTAAGAGTCAGCTTCTAAAATACACATGATTATTCACAAATATATTGTAATCTGTATGCCACAATGAGTTGTGATATTGTGATATTTATGGTTCTACACTGTCATTAAGAACTTTGATAATGTAGAACCATAAAGACCCTAAATCATAAGTACATGTGTTTTACTTCTCTTAAAGTCCAGAATAGATGGACTTTAGTTGTTATTAGGTCTAATCGCTTTAAAGAGGAATAATGGAAAATTGTTTCTCTCAATAGAGAGACAAACTGTACTGACATTTCAAATGTCATTAGTGCTTAATTTATCAGAAGTCATTCTTTACACTTCTTACAATGATTTATGAATTTGTACTTACATTTGTACTGTTTTTACATAGAACAAAAAAGAAATTTAAATCGCATTTTTCCATTTTTTACATGTAAATAGATAATTTCTATAGAATTTCTGTTATGTGCTGAGATATATCTTTTCTATAAATTAGTAGCTGAAAGTTTATACTTTGAAATCATTTCCCATTTTATTTTCTACAAATGAAAGTATACTCTTTGCTAAATCATTTATTTTCATTTTCTAACATTAATATAAATCTTTTCAAGAGGTATGTTGAAGAAACAAGTGCCTTCTCCTGAGAATTCTGAAGTCAGCAAAGCAATAGTGTATTTTAAACTTTGAATAAATCAATTTGCAATTAATATATTTGAATATTATTTCAGATAATGGTACCTCATATTTTATTTCACATTACAAAGTAGATCTTGAGTATACATAAAGGATATTAGAAAGTAAAAATCACTCATGCAAGTAACATTTAGCTTAAGTTTAATATAAAAGTCACTGAACTTAGAATAGTAGAAAAACTGGCAGTGAGATATCTTTGATGTGATAATATAATGTTGGGACAAAAACATTTGCCTGATTAGATTTTCAAAGATTAGAAAGTGAAGAAAGATTTAAATTTCACATACTAATTGGTTTAGAAAACCTGGAGGAAGCAATGTCTTTCACGTTTAAATTCTAATTTGAAATTACCAAAATGTTTCATGTGAAGATGAAGATAATTGGAGAATTTCTGCCTGTGCTCTTGAAACTCAGACAGTATTTCTATTGCCATATGATGGTTTTTTTTTAACATTTTCATAGGTATATAGGTATATTTTTACCAGAATTTGTGACTTTTGTAGTAATTTTTCAACAGATTTGATGTTGGACATAAAAAGATTAATGTTCTACAGGAAAATGAATAAAAATAACCGGCAATTTTTGCACTATTTTGTGGAAGACAACTATTACTTAAATTTAGAGAAGTAACCTTATTTTTTGACTGCTTTTTTTTTCTTTCTAATTTCAATCAGCAAGGATGTGTTTGACAGAGATTTATGAGAACAGGAGTCTTTTAAGTGGTTTAAGTATTTTTTCACCCCCAATAAAGATTGTGCATCAGCTTTAGTGAGTGATTCCTAAGTAAATAAGTATTTACTAACAGATATACACAAAGACAGTATAATGAAATTCATGTTTTTCTCTTTGGGTGGTACAGCCAATGCAATTTAATGATAGAACAGAAACATTTAATGTTAGGAAAAACGCATGGACTTCTCTTTAAAGGAATAGTCAGCTTCTCCGTTTATATCACTAGTTTACTTACGGACTGTGACTACCACAGAGATGGTCTACAGTAGAAAGATTTTTCTACTTCAACAGCCATTTATCCTCAGATACATGCCTGAATTCACTCAACAAATACCAAATGCTGGCCACTAAAGTCAATGAAGGGAAAGTATTCAAAAGAGAATGTATTTGGTTGACTTGAGGTTGTTCATTTATTCAACCAACAACCCTAGCAGGCTGAGCCTATCAGTGTTCAGAACCATGAAAGTAGACAAGACAGTGTTAGGTAAGTCACTAGGTTTTTGGTCTTAAAACTATTTTGCTATGCAGTAATAAAGGAAATATACATTTTAATGTATGTTGTGACCCTTCTATTAGCAAATATTTAAAGTGTTAATGAAATTATTTTACTTTGTGAATTTTCAGGTAACTATGTAGTCTCTACTTGAATAGATAGGTATTTAGCATTCTTATCTGTGACAAACTGAACTCTAAACAATGAACTCTGTGCAAATAAACAACGATGGCTTTGTCCCTTTCCTTCAGGTATGTTGGAAACATTAGAATGAAGTAGCTTTGATGTCCGTACTCCTAGCTACCTTCTAAGACGCGATCTAATGTTTTATGAGTGAAGAATAGATGAGACTGGTTAAGACCAGCTTTTGCAGAGTGAGGAGATAGGTCCTACTACAACCCCAAGAGAAGGCACCATTGGGAATCCTGAGTGCCTGAGATTAACCAGAGGTAATTAACTTCCAGAAAATTATGCTGAGTGAGTAAAAAATCAATCCCAAATGATTGCGATCTGTATAATTCCATTTACACAACATTTTCGGAACATGACAAGATTATAGAACTGAAGAACAATTGCCTGGGATTACTACATAGGGGTGTATGTGAGATCAAAGTGGATGTGGCTATAAAAGGGCCACATGAGGGACACCTGTGGTGATGCCCTTAACAACCAGAGAAAGAAAAAGAAAAGGAAAGTAAGTATACTTCAGTGTTTCAAATAGGACAATGTTATAAATAAATCCAGAGACAAAAGACAAAAACTATTACTGTTCATGACTGAAGTATGTTTTCAAACTGAAGTCAGTTGCAGTTTATCTGAGTGTATAATAGTTTAGACCCTTAATATTTGGTATGTGTTATTATATGATCTAAGAGTTACTTTTAAATTATATTACTGGCTTTGATTTATATACTGCTGTTAGCTAAAAATGCAGTAAGATCCTATGTAACATTAACCAACTTTTTAAATGGCAACAGCTTGCAAGACTATAGTACAAGAACACAATTATATGCAGAATATTTCCATCACCACAAGAGTTCCTCCTGTGGCCCTTTGATAGCCACAGCAACTTCAATTTCATCTATAACTGAAATGCAGTAACCCCAGGCAATTGTTCTCCATATCAGTAATTTCATCATTTCAAAAGTGTTGTTGTGTAAATGGGAGTATATCGTACACAATCTTTTGGAATTGGCCTTTTATTCACTCAGCATAATTCTCTGGAGATTTATCCTAGTTGTTGCCTTTATCAATGATTAATTTCTTTTTTTGCTAGTAGTATTGCATGGTGTGGATATGCCATAGTTTGTTTAGCAATTTACCTGTTGAAGGACATCTGGAATGTTTCTATTTTTTGGCTATTAAAAATAAAGCTGTTATAAACATGTATATACAAGTTTTGTGGAAACACAAATTCTCACTACTCTGCAATGAATGCCTCAGAATACAATTGGTAGTAGATATCATAATCCCAGGTTTACACTTTTAAGAAACTGTCAAAGTGTTTTACGGAGTGGCTATATCATTTTGCATGACCACGAACAATGTATGTGTGATCCAGTTGCCCACATGCTCACCAGAATTGGTGTAGTCACAATTTTTTACTTTAGCCATTCTGATAAATGTGTAGTGATACGGCCTTATAGTTTTATTTTGTGTTTCACTAATGGCTAGTGATATTGAACACCTTTTCATGTGCTTATTTGCCACATGTATAGCCTCTTTGTGAAAATATCACTATACTCTTTGCTCATTTTCTAATCTGATTATTTCTTTATTAGAATTTTTCATTCTTTCTATGTTCTAGCCACTAGTTCTTTGTCAGATATGTTATTTGCCATTATTTCACTGTAATCTGTACCTTGTATTTTATTCTCTTAACAGTGTCCTGGTCAGAGAAAAAGTTTTAATTTAATGAAATCAAATTTAACAAGTTTTCTTTCTAAGGATTATACTTTTGATTATGAAATCTAAGAACTCTTTGCCTAGCATTAGTTCCTTGAGATTTTCTCCTTTTTTCCAAAAGTTTTATGGTTCTTTATTTTTCCTTCACTTGTTGAAAAAGCTACCTTTCCTACATTGATTTTTTTTTTTTTTTTTTTTTTTGCCATTGTAAGAAATCTGTTAGATGTATTTGTGTGGGTATTTTTCTGGGTCAATTTTATTGACCTTTCCAAAGAAATAATTTTATTTCATTATTTTTTAGTCTATCATTTTCCTATTTTTCAATTCCATTCATTTCTGCTCTTTGATATTTCCTTCTTCATGCTTGCTTTGGGTTTATTTTGTACTTATTTTTCAAGTTTCTTAGGGGGGTTGCTGAAACTATTGATATGAGAGTTTTAATCTTATCTAACCTTAATTGCTTTCCACAAATTTTATATATTGTATTTTTTATGTTCATTCATTTCTATATATATGTTTATTTGCTTTGTGTTTTTCTCTTTGACCAAAGATTATTTAGGAGTGTTGTTTAATTTTAAGTATTTTGAGATTTCCCTGCTGTTGCTTTTTAGTTTGATTTCTTTGTAGTCAGGGAATGCACTCTATATAATTTGAAAACCTTTAAATGTATTGAGATGTGTTTTATGGCCCAGGGTATAGTTTTGTTTGTTTGTTTGTTTTGGTATATGTTTGAAAATGATGGACTTCTTGCCATTTTTGGTGAATATTCTGTAGATGTTCATTAGGTTCTCTTGGTTGATGTTGTTTCTGACTCCTTTTATGTCCTGCCTGAATTTCTGTCTAGTTAATCTATCAATTGCTGAAAGAAGGGTATTGAAATCTCCAGCTACTATTGTCAATTTGTCTAATTTCTTTCAAGTTCTATTTTTGTGTCACATATTTTGCAACTCTGTTGTTTGTTGCATACATGTATAGGGTTATGTATATGCTCTTGATAGGTTGATGATATTGTTATATATCCCTCTCTGATAATTTTGTTTGTTCTGTGGTCTTCTTTATCTGGTGTTAATATATCCTCTCTGGCTTTCTTGTGGTTAATGTTTTCATGGCATGTCCTTTCTATCCTTTAACTTCCAACCTGCCTCCTTCTTCATGTTTGAAGTCAGATTGTTTTAGGCAACATAATATTAAGTGCAGTTTTATTTTTTAGTTCATTCTCCCTATTTATGTCTTTTAGTTGGTTTATTTAGACTGTTCACATTTAAAGTAATGATGTATTTGGGCTAGGTCTACCATTCTGTTTTGGCATGCGTTTGTTTACTCTGGTTTTTGTTTCTCTATTTAGTTTATTGGCTTGCCTTCCTGTATGTTACCTAAATCAAGCTTCACAATTCCATTTTGACATATCTATAGTGTTTTGGAATATTTGTTATGATGGCTACTTTAAAATATTTCTAACATCTCTGTTACCTCAGTTTTGACATGTTTTGATTATCTTTTTACACTCATCTTGACATCTTCTTGCTTCTTGGTGTGGCAAATACTTTTCCATTGAGACCTGAACATTTTGAGTGCTATGAGACTCAGATCACATGCAAACCTTCTGTCTTACCTGACTTTTTTCTGTTGTCATCTGACAAAGGAAAAAAGTCTGCTACTTTCTTACTGCCAAATGAGGGTAGAAGTCCAGGTTTCCTGCTTGATCCCTATTATTATTGAGGTCTGTAGTGCCTCTTCTCTGCTAGGTGGATGTAGGAGTGCTGGTTCCCACTAGGTCTTACTGATACTGCCCTGGCTGGGAGGGTAGGAGGCATGCCTTCTTACTAACTCCCATGTTGTCTTCACTAACACCACAGGGGAATGAGAGTGTATTATTCTGTTTTCACACTGCTGATAAAGACATACCCAAGACTGAGCATTTCCAAAAGAAAGAGGTTTATTGGACTTAACAGTTCCACATGGCTGGCGAGGCCTCACAATTATGGCTGAAGGCAAGGAGGAGCAAGTCACATCTTACACGGATGGCAGCAGGCAAAGAGAGAGCTTGTGCAGAGAAACTCCTGCCTTCAAAACCATCATATCTCATGATATCCTTTCACTATCATGAGAACAGCATAGGAAAGACACTCCTCTATGGTTCTGTCACCTCCCACCAGGTCAATCCCACAACATGTGGGAATTATGGGAACTACAAGATGAGATTTGGGTGGGGACACAGAGCCAAACTATATAAGTTAGAGACCTCATCACTGTTAAACTGAGGTGAAAGTCTGACCTTTCAATTCGGTCTCTTCTTACATCACTGCCACAGGAAGAGAAAGAGGCACCTATGTTACTGCCTGGTGGGAGTGGAAACGCAGGTTCCTCATGTGGTCTCTGATGACATAGCAGAGTGTGGCCTCACTACTGCTCAGCAGGAATGAAAGTCCATGCTCCCCACACAGTTTTCACTGATACACCATGACAACAGGTTTTTGGGGTGCCTTTTTACACTCTCGTGAGGTATCGCAGGATCTGGCCAGCAGGCCACAATGCAACGGGGCTCTTTCTTTGTTCCCAGGCAGATTGCCAGGTTGAGAAATAAAAGACACACACAAGATAGTGAAAGCTGGGTCCACGGGGGTCACTGCCTTCTGGTCCTGCGATGCTGCCAATGCACTGGATATACCAGTATTTATTATTAAGTTTAGTAAGGGTGGGGGTAGGTTAGTGAGGGATTTAGGGTCGTTTGATTATGAGGTGAGATGGTCACATGGGAATGAAGTAATTCTTTAACATAACATCGGTATGCAGAAGTACAGTATACAGAGATAAGAATTTACAATACAGTGTGTGTGTCAGCAATTTCTAACAGCCTTAAAACAGAAACACAGTCTATAACCTATGATTAGCCAGATATTAATCAGCAGTAACCATTGCAGCAAAAGCTGGTTACAAACAATCAATAGAAACAGGACGTGAAGCTAGACAACTGGTTAGACCAAAAATTCTCAGAAAGGAGTATGCCTTAACACTAAAGAGACCTAGAAAAGCTGTGGCAAGATAAGGGCGTTTATAACCCTATCTTATCCATATGAACAGGCACCCCTCATGCGTCCGTTTATAGGCTCTCCACAAGTGTCACATTCCATTCCCAGAGCTATGAACATCTGCTTTTCTGGGATAGGAATCTTGGTGATGTGAAACATCCCTGACTGCACGTCCATTCATAGGCTCTCTGCAGGGGGAAGCACATTACGTGCTGTTGGCTCATTATGGCAGCCCAACCTGGCATTATCTTTACACAATCCTGCATGCAATTTTGTATTTACAATAATCAGGAGCATTTCATCTTTTATTCCATAGCAATAGTTTCAGGGGGTCTCCCTAGAATGAGGGTGGAAATTTAGTCTCTCTGATCAGCATTTGCTGTTGGGGTAGCAGTGGGACCACTGGTTTTTTTTTTTTTTTTTTTTTTTTTTTTTTTTTTTTTTTTTTTTCCTTGCAGTGTTTAGCTGGCTTAGGGCCATTATTTCTAAGTTTTTTATGCCCTCCTAGGCTACTCCCTTCCTGGTCTTTTGGCTAGAGAGAACAGGGGTTGTGTATTTGTTCGTGTGCATGTGTACATGTGCACACGTGTGCCCAAAGGTGTTTTCAGGTTATTTGCTTATGTGGCACCAAATCTGGGTCATGTGGGAGGCAAAGAGAAAACCCAGCAAACTCACCACTGTTGTTCCTTGGGTTCTGAGATCCCTAGGCAGTCTTTATCTTTCCTCTCCATCTCAGAATTCTTATATATTGGTTTTATATACAATGTCCAGGATTTCTAGTTGTAGTTACCTAGAAGTATGGAAAAACTATGTCTGCTTCATCTTTCTATAAGCAAAAGTCTATATAATTTAAGTGTTCTAACATAGACATTGAAATACTCTGGGTTTTTTTTTTGTTTGTTTTTGTTTTTTTTAGCTAGATTAAACAATATGCTCCAGACAGTTAGTTGTTCTAATCAGTAATTTGTACTCCAAAGGTAGTATTTTAATAAAAAGATCACACTCTAAGGGCAGCTACAATAAGTAGTTCAGCCATCATTATCTCTGGCAAAGAAAGCATCTCAATTTATTCATGAACATGCTGCCCAAGGTTGTGGGAGCCCACCTCTTGCATTAATGTGATCTGGGTGTGAGAAATGGAGTCAAAGGAGATCATTTTGAAACTTTAAGGTTTAATGACTGCCATATTGGATTAAGAAGTTGCATGGGGCTTGTAGCATCTTTGTTTTAGCCAATTTCTCCCATTTGGAATGAGTGCATTTATCTAATGCTTGTACCACCATTACATCTTGGAAGTAACTAATTTGCATTTGATTTTACAGGCTTATAGGGAGAAGGGACTTACCTTGTTTCAGGTGAAAATATGGACTTGGACTTTTGGATTAGTCCTCAAAGGAGTTAAGACTTTGGGAAACTGTAGGGAAGGCATAATAGTGCTTTGGAATGTGAGAAAAATGGGATTTGGGAGGGCCCTCAGGTGGAATGATATGGCTGGCTCTGTGTCCCCACCCAAATCTCATCTTGAATTGTAATCTGAATTGTCATCACCATGTATAGGGGGAGGAACCTCGTGGGAGGTGATTAGGTCATGGTGGCCATTCTCCATGCTGTTCTCATGATAGTTCTCATGAGATCTGATGGTTTCATAAGGGGTTTTCCCCACTTCTTTCTGCACTTCTCTCCTCTCCTGCTTTGTGAAGATGGGGCCTTGCTTCCCTTTCACTTTCTGCCATGATGTAAGTTTCCTGAGGCCTTCCCAACCATGCTAAGCTGTGAGTCAATTAAACCTCTTTCCTTTATAAATTACCCAGTCTCAGGTATATTTTTTATGGCAATGTGAGAACAGACTAATGCATTAATTTGGCACCAAGCTAGTGGGTCATTGCTATAAGGTACCTGAGAATGTGAAATGACTTTGAAACTGGGTAATGGGCAGAGGTTGGGACAGTTTCAAGGACTCAGAAGAAGACAGGAAGATGTGGAAAAAATTAGAACTTCCTAGAGACTTCTTGAATGGCTTCAACAAAAATGCTGATAGTGATATGGATGTGAGAGTCATGGAGTCAAATGAAGTCCAGGCTGAGGTGGTCTTAGATGCAGGTGATAAACTTGTTGGGAACTGGAATAAAGCTATTTCTTGCTATGCTTTAGCAAAAAGACTGGCAACATTTTGCCTCTACCCTAGAGGTCTGTGGAATGTTGAACTTGAGAGAGGTGATTTAGGGTATCTGGCAGAAGAAATTTCTAAGCAGCAAAACATCCAAGAGGTGACAGAGCACAAAAGTTTGAAAAACTTCCAGCCTGATAATGCAGTAGAAAAGAAAAACCCATTTTCTGGGGAGAAGTTCAAGCCAGCTTCAGAAATTTGCATAAATAAAAAAGCATCGAATATTAATCACCAAGACAATGGGGAAAATATCTCCAAGGCATGTCAAAGAGCTTTGTGGCAGCCCCTCAGATCATAGGCCCAGAGGCCTAGGGGGGAAAAAATGTTTCATGGGCCGGGTCCAGGACCTCCCTGCTGTGTTCAGCCTGGGACTTCATGTCATATGTCCCACTTCAGTTATGGCTAAGAGGGGCCAAGATACAGCTCAGGCCATGGCTTCAGAGGGTGCAAGCCTTGGCAGCTTCCTCATGGTGTCAGTCCTGTGGGTGTACAGAAGACAAGGATTGGGGTTTGGAAACCTGGGCCTAGATTTCAGATGATATATGGAAATGCCTGGATGTCCAGGCAGAAGTCTGCTGCAGGGGTGGAGCTCTCAAGGAGAACCTCTGCTAGAATAGTGTGGAAGGGAAGGAACCCCAGCACAGAGTCCCTGCTTCTGCACTGTCTAGTGCAGTTGTGAGAAGAGGGCCACCATCCTCTAGACTGCAAAATAGTACATCCACTGAGAGCTTGCATTGTGAACATGGAAAAGCTGTAGGCATTCAATGCCAGCCCATGGAAGCAGCCAGGAGGGGGGGCTATATCATGCAAAGCCACAGAGACAGAGCTGCCCAAGGCCATGGGAACCCACCTCTTACATCAGCACGACCTGGATCTGAGACATGGAGTAAAAGGAGATCATTTTGGAATTTTAAGGTTTAATGACTGCTCTATTGGATTATGAACTTGCATGGGCCTGTAGCCTCTTTGTTTTGGCCAATTTATCCCATTTGAGATTGGTACATTTATCCAATTCCTGCACCCCCATTATATCTTGGAAGTAACTAACTTGCCTTTAATGGGCTCATAGGTGGAAGGGTCTTGCCTTGTCTCAGATAATACTATGGACTTGGACTTTTTGTTAATGTTGAAATTAATTAAATTTGGGGAACTGTTGGGAAGGTACAATTGTATTTTGAAATGTGAGAAAGATTAGATTTGAAAGGAACCAGGGGCACAATGATATGGTCTGGCTCTGTGTCCCCACCAAATCTCATCTTTGTTATCTGAATTGTAATCCCCATGTGTTAGGGGAGGGGCCTCCTGGGAGGGGAGTAGATCATGGTGGCAGTTCCCCATGCTGTTCTTATGATAGTGAGTGAGTTTTCATTAGATCTGATGGTTTTACAAGGGATTTTTTTCCTCTTTACTCTGCATTTCTCTCTCTTGCCATCTTTTGAAAAAAGTGCCTTGCTCCCCTTCACCTTCTGCCATGATGGTAAGTTTCTTCAGGCCTTCTCAGCAATGCTGAACTGTGAGTCAATTAAACTTCTTTCCTTTAAATTTCCAATCTCTGGTATTTCTTTATTGCACCATGAAAACAGACTGGTACGCATACATTAAATTTTTATTACAATATTACTTGGAAAGTGAAAGGCCTCTACTAGACTATGTGAAAGACTCATTCTGATTAGGAGATCTTTATAGGAAATGTAATAAATAGTATAAAGAGGAAAACAAAAGCCTGATTACAGTCACTAGAGTTCACTAACAGCCAGCTGGGTGTGCGTATAAACTTTTTTTTCCCATTATTCTCAGAACAAATCTTATTCCCAATAAAATTCATCAATAAATTACTTAAGCATTTCATCAGGAATGCCGATTTCTTTTCAGAATAAAGTTGTCAGTCCTAGCCTAGAACAGGTTTCAGACCATGTTTTGGACACCTTTCTAATATTCTTATATCAATACCAGAAGGCTTTCTAATTAACATAGTAAAGATTAGATAATCGTTTTAATTGGAGAAGGAAAGGCCTTATGAAATAGGTTAAAATTGTTAGAATTTGGTTCCCAATTGGTGCAATTTTTTGCATACAAGATATAGTGATTAGCTCAAAAGAATTCCTGGATACTCCCTTTGAATGAACAAAACGTGAGTCCTGTAGCTTCTTCAACATTGACTGCTTAGCTTGATTGATCAACAGGCCTGTGCTGAGCCACTCATTTGAAGAATTTCTTAGTTGTCTCAGTCTGACTAACGGTGAGCTCAGTCCTGCCATTAAAAAACTGTCACATTTGCCTCAGGTCAATTATCTATGAAGAGTGACTTGTGCCGAGACCAGCTTGGTTGGGAAGACCCTAACCCAGTGGCACTAGAGGAATTAAAGACACACACACAGAAATATAGAGGTGTGAAGTGGGAAATCAGGGGTCTCACAGCCTTCAGAGCTGAGAGCCTCAAACAGAGATTTACCCACGTACTAATTAACAGCAAGCCAGTGATTAGCATTGTTTCTATACCTATTAGACTAACTAAAAGTATCCCTTATGGGAAACAAAGGGATGGACCAAAATAAAGGGGTGGGTCTGGCTAGTTATCTGCAGCAGATAACTTAAGGCACAGATAGCTCACTCTATTGTTTGTGGTTTAAGAACACCTTTAAGTGGTTTTCCACCCTGGGTGGGCCAGTTGTTCTTGCTCTCATTCCGGTAAACCCACAAACTCCCAGTGTGGGCGTTATGGCCATCATGAACATGTCACAGTGCTGCAGAGATTTTGTTTATGGCCAGTTTTGGGGCCAGTTTATGGCCAGATTTTGGGGGGGCCTGTTCCCAACATGTCCCCCTTCTTTGATTTGCAAATTGATAAAAGCAAAGGCAGCTTTGTCACAGTGAGCTACTTCTCACAGGAGTCAGGATCCACATCTGCAGACTATACAAAGACAACACAGATTAAAAGCACAATAACCATTGACATCACAGAGTTTCCAAGTGTTTTTATCCATTTTAATGGATTACTAGCTGCTAATCTGTCTGCTGCTCCTTTAAGCACTCCAGTTCCTGGCATTAAGGTCAAGTGTGCCTGGGATGCTTTAAATATTTGTTCTTTTAATTTTGCAATATCCAAAGACAAGTTTGTAGATTGTCCTTCCAGATGCTTTTTTATTCTTCCAAAATTTTTATCTTATTAAGAGCTATTAATAGTTTCCACAAATCCTTAATGTTTAGCTCCTACAGCGGGCTATATCATTTGAGGTTGAGGTACCACTATACCGCCATGGTTCCAGATAATAGGAACTCTTGCTGTACTTCTTATCATTTCTACCATCTGACCATTTTGTTCACATCAGCTGAACATAGTGTGGCCGTGGCATGCATACTGAGAGGTACAATTCAAGCTAAACATCCCCTTAGGGGACCAATTAATAATGATTCCATAGGAATCATTGTGCAGCACCTCTACCTGTTCTGCAATGCAATCTTCCTAAATAAGTACATTCATATTTTCTGGCCAGGTTTAATTTTGTTTACAAATAGGTTTTTGAGGGTGGTATGCCTCAATTATAGGAGCAGATTTATTATGGTAAATACTGAGATCAGAAAGCATATGTAACTGCATCATAGAGTGATTACATCTAGGCATTATTGCCAGCCAAGATTGAAAATATGCCTAATAAGTATAATTGTTCCATGTGTCAGCCCTTATTGAAGGAATACTCATGGCAATGGTGATCACTGCTATCATAGCTACCATTAAATTATTCATTGTGACTGGCTGTCTCGCTTTCATCAGGTTTTCTTCCGCCATCTGTGACAGCTTCTTGATCTCTCCCCAGGTGGGTGGCTGTGTTTGACGGGTGTTGCTTGTGACAGTTGGGGGTCCTCCTCAGTGTCAGCCTTGACATGGCTGCAACCAGCGGGTCCTCAGGATCCTCCTGGAATCTCTTCCTCAGCGTCTGGCTCATAATAAGGTTTCAGGTGTCTTGATGGTATCCAAATCAGCTGTTGATTTTGGCCTGGAGAAACACAAGCATAACCTCTACCCCAAGTTATTATTTTACCTATTTCCCAACTTTTTGTTATTGGATCTCTCCACCAAATCAATTGTTCTGCTTCTGTCTTTGCAGCTGGTTTCTGTAGATGCTGTTCAGCTGCTGATAACATCTGGCCTTTTGGCAGGCTCAAAAAATTTAAAGTTAATAATGCTAGATTTAATTGTGTATGGGCTGTCCCATAATCCCTGTTTCTCCCCCCTTTTTCATTTTTGTCATCAGTTGTTTTTCTATATGAAATCATAACTGAGCATTTTCAATTAACTGTGTGGAATGAACCACATATGAAGAATCAGAAATCACATTAATAGGCACATAAAAAGCAGTCAATACCTCAGTTACAGCTACAAGCTCCGCTTTTTGAGCTGAAGTATAGGGCGTCTGGAAAACTTTACCTTTTGATCCAGAATAAGAAGCTTTACCATTACTAGAACCATCTGTAAAACAATGAAAATGCTTAGCAGGCTGAAGGTTGTTTACTGCAGGAATTGTAAATGCAAACCATTTACAGTCTTGCTCAGCTAAAGGGTTAGTAAAGAAAGTCTTTTAAATCTATGACTATTAAAGGCTAATTTTTTGGAATTATAGCAGGAGAAGGCAATCCTGGCTGTAATTCTTCCATAGGTTGTATAACTGAATTGATGGCTCTTAAGTCAGTTAACATTCTCCATTTACCTGATTTTTTCTTAATTACGAAAACTGGAGAATTCCAAGGGGAAAATGTTGGAGCTATGTGCCCATTTTCTAATTGTTCAGTAACTAATTCCTCTAACACCTCCAGTTTCTCTTTATTTAGTGGCCACTGTTCTATACAAATTGGCTTATCTGTTAACCATTTTAAAGGTATAGGTTCTGGAGGCTTAACAATGGCCACCATCAAAAATGATATCCTAGTCTTTGGCGGGAACTTTGTCTTTCCGCTTGAAGTGGTTCTTTCAAACCTTGCAAATTTTTTTCTACTCCCATACCAGGGACATTCGCCATTTCATGCAGTATGTGTTCACTTTGAGGGCTATATAATTGTTCTGGAATTAGAACTTGTGCTCCCCATTGTTGTAATAAATCTCTTCCCCATAAATTTATAGGTACAAAAGTTATAATTGATTGAATAGTCCCAGGTTGTCCATCGGGCCCCTCAAAATGCAAAATATAACTACTTTGATATACTTCAGGGGCTTTACCAACTCCAACTGTGTTAAATTGAGCAGGTTGAATTGGCCATGTGGACAGCCAGTGCTGTAGAGAAATGATTGAAATGTCTTCTCCTGTATCTACCAAATCTTTAAATTTCTTTCCCTGAATAGTTATTTCACAGGTAGGATGTTTATCAATAATTTGATGTATCCAATAAGCTGCTTTGCCATGTTTATTTGTGCTTCCAAATCCTCCTGTTCATTTAATTTCACTTTTTCCTATTCCCACATATGGCACAATCGGGAGCTGTGCTATGCACTCTCCTGGCTCTGCTTTCCAGGGAACAGAAGTAGATATAACAATTTGAATTGCCCCATTGTAATCTGAATCAATGACTCCTGTATGTATTTGTACCCCTTTTAAACTTAAACTAGAGCTTCCTAAAAGTAATCCTATTGTCCCCGCTGGCAAGGGTCCACAGACTCCTGTTGGGACCTTTTGCGGGGGTTCCCCAGACAGAAGACTCAGAGCTTTTGTGCAGCATAAATCTACTGTGGCACTACTGGCTATGGCAGGGACAGATATTGTACAGGGGTGAGGGAATGAGCTGAGCTGGAAATGCCCTGGTTTAAAATGGGGCCCAGGACGGGCCCCTCGTGGCATTTCCCGAAATTGGGTTCCCATCTTTATCAAACTTAGAGTGACACTGATTAGCCCAATGTCTTCCTTTTTTACATTTTGGAGATATTTCAGGCTCAGCAGTTTTCTTTTTTCCCCTG
Source organism: Homo sapiens (assembly GCF_000001405.40). NCBI lineage: Eukaryota > Metazoa > Chordata > Mammalia > Primates > Hominidae > Homo > Homo sapiens. Next base: position 116,252,504 of record NC_000002.12, on the reverse strand, counting down.
TCTGGTGGCCTGACTCGTTGATTATTTCTACATTCTTTTTTAGTATGAATAGCTTGTTTAAATTCTTTGAGTAATTTAAAGGAAAAGGCTCAAATGTAGATATAATATTTTTCTGTTGATCTGGGGGGTGTATTCTAACAGGGAACTGCCAAGCCTCTAAATCACCCTCTTATCTAGCTTGCTGAATTCCTGCCTGAAAAGAAATGAGGGTGGTCACTGAAGGCACTGCTCGAACAGTCAATGGGGCAACTATTTTTCGCCCAGTGTCCTCTGGAAAAGAAAGATCTGGCGGGTCTTTTTCTTCAAAATAATAATGAGGGGGTGCAGAAGGGTAGGGATGAACCTCGCCCTCCTTTCCACTTTAGCTTTAGCTGGCAAATAAATCTGCTCTGTAACCTCTTCTGTTACTTCATTATGCATTCCTTTCTCCTAATCATCAGTGTGAAAAAGTTCCAAGGTGGAAGAACCACACCCCACACTTGTCCCACTGTTACCCTGATGCTTCTGAGCTCCCCTTCTTACTCACCACGGGAATTGCTATAAGAGTACTCGGGTGTCCTCCAGCTAGTTCCACCCTCTCCAACTGTTGCTCCAGCAACCCTTCGACCTGGATTCGAGCCCCCACATATGGGCGCCGCTTGCCAAGATCAGCTCAGTTGGGGAGACCCTAACCCAGTGGCGCTAGAGGAATTAAAGACACACACACAGAAATATAGAGGTGTGAAGTGGGAAATCAGGGGTCTCACAACCTTCAGAGCTGAGAGCCTCAAACAGAGATTTACCCACGTATTTATCAACAGCAAGCCAGTGATTCGCATTGTTTCTATAGATATTAGATTAACTAAAAGTATCCCTTATGGGAAACAAAGGAATGGGCCAAAATAAAGGGGTGGGTCTGGCTAGTTATCTGCAGCAGGAGCATGTCCTTAAGGCACAGATCGCTCACGCTATTGTTTGTGGTTTAAGAATGCCTTTAAGTGGTTTTCCACCCTGGGTGGTCCAGGTGTTCCTTGCCGTCATTCCGGTAAACCCACAAACTGCCAGCATGGGCATTGTGGCCATCATGAACATGTCATAGTGCTGCAGAGATTTTGTTTATGGCCAGTTTTGGGGCCAGTTTATGGCCAGATTTTGGGGGTGCCTGTTCCCAACAGACTTGGATGAGCCTGAATGTTGCTAAACTTATAAAAGGGATGGCTACACTGGTTTTTGCTGGTTTTAAGTATCTGCATGCTTAGTAGAGTTTGGTCTGACAGTTGCTTTGAATATAATCTATAGAGGAGCTTACGGGAGACAAATGAATGCTCACACACCTCCACATATTAGTTTTCACCTATATTTAACAAAACGTACACAATGATTGTGAATTCCAGTTTGTCTCTTTCATTTTGCAACTGAATATGTGTCAAAGCATATCTCTGTTTAATTAAAGACCATAATATAATTATGCTTAGGGATCTTATCTGAAATATCATATTTTCTAAGACTTTTGAGACCTGGGGTACTATATCACCTAGCAATATTCGTGATTCTAATTAACTGGGAGGAATCTTATTAAGAAATGTATTTTATACCATATCAGTTTAATGGATTTTAGTGTTTCAGATTTTTAAGAAAGGTATGCTTTCTTTAAGAAACAACTTACAGTGTCAACTTTCTTACCTACTCTGACATTTTACACTTTATAATTACTGGTAGAATTCTCAGTTGTGATCTTCTGAAATATTTGTAGATATGTACTCCAAACACTACAAATTTGCCGTTAGATGGTATGCAGGATTGGACACCTACCCTCTATATATGTCCAAATAAAAGGAACAGTATTAAAACTGCTAAACTTTTGAAACTTATCTTTCCAAGCATGAGCTTGAAGATTTAAAAATCTCAAATTATTTCCCAATATGTGCCGTAAATTATTCCCTTTGTAACCTCTTACATTTGATTAATGTTGATTGCATAATAGGTCAATTTTATTTATTTTAATGCATGCCTTCGTAGAACATTATAAGTAAATGCCTTTCAAAGTTCAGCTTAACCCTCGTAGCACTGGGCATTTCTAAGGGACTTTCAGCAGTAATTTTGGATGTGCTTTCCTAATAACTGTTTTCAGAATCCATTAAGATCCAAAGAGAGTTATGCATAGATGCAAACTTTCACCACATTACATAGTGAACACTCATCAGAAACAAAAGCCAAACCCTGTTGCTGGGTTTCTCCCTCTGGGCAATAAACTGTTTAATGAAACTATAAAGAAATTTATCTCACATAATCCTTAAAATTTCTGACCAAACTACAGACTTATGGAAGAGTAACCCTGTTTAAACTTCGTTTGAAAATATAATCCATTTTTATATAACCAACATTATTGCTAATCACTGCTAAATCCTAATTTGATATTGAGAAGTAATATCAAGAAATATGAATTATAACTAGGACTGAAGACACGGAGAAGTAGCACCAGAATGCAAATTTCAGAAGTTCCAGGTGGTATCTATTTCAAATATTTTTCACGATGCCTAAAGTAGTGATGAGCATGGATGATTTTAGTTGCAACCTAACTAAGCAATAGGACATAACTAATTCACTCCTATAAAGTCCAGGAATAAAACAGCTCTGGAATTGTTTAACTGGTAAAATGAGGTAATCAAAAACCTAGCTTTGCCACGGTTTTGTTCTGCCATACTTCATATGTTGGATTTCTTCATGAGAAATCACAGTTGTATTTATAGGCATTATTTGCAAATTTGAAAATATTAAGTGAAAAAAATCTGTTTTTGCCAAGGTGTCCCTTCTTTAAAAGTGAGTAATCCTTTCTTAGAAACCCTCTAAAACCCCCTTTTTTCTATCACATTTCATAAGCCAAAACTACGTCATATACCCACCATCCAGCATTAACAAAGGATACCCACCTGTGATTTAAATTTCTCTAAGAGAAAAATATCTCAGCACAATTAGGGTTTGGGTAATGAGAAATAGGGGAAAGGTTTTGCATAGGCAACAATGGGTATATTCTACAAAGTTAGTAGATATTTATTGTCTAATGTAAATATTCAGTCAGTCACTCAGCATGTACCAGGAATCGTCAATAAACTAGGAAATATGCAAGGGTTTATATAAGATTTTAAATAAAAAAGGAAAAAATAATAATTCCTATACTACTACTAATAGAATGTAAGCTAGGTATTTTTGTGCAGGTAGGTATTATAAACATCATAGAGAAAGGCTAATGTGCTATAATGCTTTTACATTCTACATTCTCTGTTCTCCCCTTGAGTGTCTTTGTCATACAAATGTCTTACTGAGAGAATCAGCTTCTATTTAAAAAATAAAAAAAAAAAAAAAACTCTACAAGTTAGATGTAAAACTTGGCAGATATGAATCCCTTTCAATTATCACTGGCTCCTGTAGTCCTAACACATCTATTATATGTGTTAATTGTTGAATATTTCTAGCTTGTGAATGGGGTTTCATGTATATGTCTAGCTGGAGAACAATAAACGCTATTAATATTTTTTATTTTTTAGTAATCAGAGAGGAATTGGTAGAAGAATATAATTTTCTGGGTTGGGTAGTTGCTATTGTTGTTTTCCACTCACATTTTCTGTATTATCCTATCAATTTTTTATTTTCAGTATAATTGTTTAATTCTATATTAGGGGAAATTGAATAAGGATAGAAAAATGGGTGGAAGGTAATGACAAGGAGGAGATTAAAGCAGCCAAATGTTTCGAAGTAAACAGAGGGGTTTAGATTAGCAAATCTTTCAGTTCAATCATTCTTCATGGTGTGGGACTCCCAGTGTGGTGTGTGGCCCTTAGTACTGACCCTCGAAGTTTCAAGCGTCAACAAGGAGACAAGGTCAGAAATTGATAGTGACCCTTGAAAAGCACATTGCAGCAACATTCAAATGAGGCTCCTTGTTATAGACCCGCTCAGGTGCGGTTGAACTTATGTGCTGAATGATATGGAATGTAAACAGCATGTATAGGCCAGTGATTAACTGGAAACTTAAAAGATTAGGAACAAAAACTTGTCTTCCACCACAAAGAGCTTGAGAAGCATTCTTGTGTGAAAGTTGAAAGACAAAGGCTCCCTTTAGTCTTTAATAGACGATCCATAAAAATGTGTTCATGAGTGAATAAGTTATATAATAGTTGTAAATGTAAAACGTAAGACAGCACAGAGCATTTATAATTAATGAGTATGGTCACACAAATATCAAAGCAGTTATGAATCTCATAATATTTTCAAAAGTTATATGACTAAGTTCTACCCCTAAAGCCTTTGTTTCAGTAGTTTAGAAAGTAGGTTCTACGTGTGGTATTGAAAAACAGTCAACAAAAACAAAAACAAACACTTCTCTGCTTGTTTTTCTGGAGACCAAAGCTTGAGACTCTGTGAACTAAGCCCTAAAGAGTCAAGTTTAGCCAAGGTTGATGTAAGTAAAACCCTAGAGGTTCACTATGAGCAGCAGCCAGAATTGAGTTCCTGAGGTCAGTCCAAGCTAATCTCAATATGCCAGGAAGAACCACAAAGTTTGAGTGCACAGGTTTCTATGTAACTGAGATGGGTTGACTTGTGAAGAAAGGAAGTTCAGTTATAGAGAATAAAAAAACAAAAGAAGAAGCAAAGATAAAAATTTATTTCTTTAATGAAGCTGGCAGTCTTGCAATAGTGGAAGAAATAAATCCTTCACAGGAAATATATTTTCATATTAATAAACATTAAAGATACATATTCAATAATTATTTCAGTGTTATTATCAACTGTCATATTGTTTATCTTTTTTCTGCTGTTTTTTTTTCTTGTTTTAAAAATTAAATATATGCAAACACCAAGCATATTTAGAAATATATGAAATCAGGAAAACAAACAAAAAGGCAGATACAATATTCATTGTTATAAAGTAGTACATGGGCAGAAAATTTGTGAAAATTTCCAGTGTTTTTAGGGTACAAGAAATTCAAACTTTCATATATTTTAAATGGAAATTGTGAACTCTTAAAATTTGGAGAATAATATGGTAACATTCATGGAAGTATACATTTTTACTCATCCTGATTATTTGGAAGTCTCTGTTATTTTAATTAAAGAAGTACTAGGTCTAGGTGTGTGTGTGTATATATGTATATACACAATACATATATGTAATTTAAATTTATATATGTACACACATATAAACACAACAATATTTACCGCAGCATTGTGGGAGTGGAAAATGGTTAGCAAATTTCAAACAGCTAAAGAAATGGTTGGATAATGAGTGGATCACATACTCTGAGATATTAAGCAACTAGTGAGGCCAAGAAGCTATTTTTGTATGTATTAAGCAAGACAGACATTTTTTATATATTGATTCACATTACAGAGTAACATGCAAACAATTATTTGTGACAACAAAAATACGTATGCATTCATACGAACATCTATGCATATATTTGGATGAGCATGTCATAAGATGTGGAAGGATGTAACTTTTCTGCTTATATTTACTATCAGGAAAAGAATAGAGGAAGGTGATTAGAGAGAATTTAAAAATGTTCTTTTTATACATTTTTGGAGAATTTCATTTGTTACAAAAAAATCACATTGCTATTGCAATTTGAGAGCTTTGGTTAATTTTTGTTTATTCTGAGAAAATTTTAAATGTAAATTTGCAAGAATGGCATGAATAGCTTCTATGTACCATGGTTCAACAATTAATATTTTGACACAATGCATGCTACCTCTCTCTCTACACCCTCCCTACACAAATTATTTTCTAAGAACATGCTTTTTATATAACTACAGTTATCAAAATAAAATTTAATATTGATAATGCTATTATCAGTCCATCTTCAAGATTCACCGGATTTCCCAGTATTGTCTTTCATAATCTTTTTCTATATAGGATATAATTGAGAACCTGAGAGCTACACTGTCATTTCTCTATAGCCTCTTTTAATATGAAACAGTTATAGCCTCTCTTTGTCTTTCAAGACACTGGTATTTTTAAATAGATCAATTTTGTAGAATGTTCCCAACTTTGGATTTATCCGATGTTTCCTCATGACTAGATTCAAGTTAAGCATTTTTTGTCAAGGACATCATAAAAGTCACATTATTCATGGTGTTAACTTTGATCACTTGGTTAAAAATGTTATCTGCCAGGTTTCTTCACTATATGGTTACTATTTTTCCTTTTATTAATAGGTAATTTGTGGGGAGATAGTTTGATGTTACATGAATATCTTATTCCTCATTCAGTGTCCACTTGTTAATTTTAACATCCACTGGTGATTCTTGCCTAAATTATTATAATAATTATAAAATATTGATGTTTTAAGTTTATCAGTTCCTCTACAGGTATTAATTGGTGTCCTACTATAATTTAAAATTTTCTAAAAATGGTTAATAGAGAAAATAACAAGTGACATTCCATATGCTCGAAGTTGTTGAGGTCTGACCAGGCATAAAGCCAGACAAGGGCCATGGTCGGCAAGTCCCAAGCCTTGAAGTCAAGTCCTAGCTCTAACGAGGATACCTGAAATACATCTCTTAATCTTCCTATGCCTTTGTTCCATCCCTGACAAAATGAAATAACTGCTCAAGCACTTTTCAGAATTATGATTCTACAAGATCTGCTAGAATTGATTCATTTCCAGGAATTTTTGCACTGAAAAACATAGCTCAAATTTAAGCATTTTGGATGAACAAAGACGAAAGTAATTTGCTTCCTGACTATGCTTCAGTGGCCACGACTCCTCACATGACACAGTGCACAAAGGAGTGGGATTCTGAGTAACTACAGTACAGTATAATTTTTCTGACAATCGATCAAAGTATACATTTTGAAGTAGGCTAAAACAGTAATTTGAAGAGACAGGGGCAATCTGAACATTTTAAATATTTGTTTTAAAATATTACAGTGATTGCTCCCCCCAGTTTCTCCGTGCTTCTAAAAGATTGAATTGCATATAAAGGAAGCATTTACTGTGAAAAATAAACCTCCTCTCTATGGAAAGGATTATAATAAAATGAAAGTGAAATCACACCTCAAAGGAACATGACTTTTTCACAATAAAGTTTAAATTTTCCTTGTAGAAAAGAGAAAGCTGATGCTCCACATAATTATATAACTAGTAGGAATCTCAGACACCATGGGGTCCAATGATGCTTGGGGTCCAAGTAAATACCATGGGGTCTTTACTTCACAGAGGGTTAATTGAGGCCAGTGAGATAAACTGTTGAAAGTCATGGATGTGAACGCAGGTCCTGGGTTGTCTTGTCCACGTCAATTCTCATGTTGTGTTTTTCCTTTCCCAACTAAAGCTTAGTCATGACAGTGTTCCAGAGATAATATTTCAGGATAAATATATGAAGCCATTTCCTGGGCAGTGTGACATAAAAATGTAGGAACAAAACTCTATTTCCAAATTATCCCCCACCCAGATGACACGTTTTATTTTTCTGAAATTCTCACATTATAGTTTTGTTTTTTGAAAATTCGTCTTACAGCAGCACCCACCTTTTCCATGATCTCTTTCTATACAGTTTCAGTTACCTGTATCAACTGTAGCCTGAAAATATCAAACGGGAGATGACAAAAATGAATCGTTTATGAGGGTTTTTTGTTTTATTATTTTTAAAAAATGTTTTTTAAACAATTTGTAAGTTGTAAATTATGTGCTATTCTGAAGAGTGTGATAAAATCTCAGGTCAGCCTGCTCCATCCCACCCAGGAGGTGAATGATCCCCTGGACCAGCATCTCCACCATGTATCTGCTCCCTTCCCATTGGTCAGTAGTCTTCTGGGTGATCAACTGTCACAGTATCTTGGTGCAGATATTAAATAAAATAAGGGTTCTTTATTTTACTTAATAATGGCCTCAAAGCACAAGAGTAGTGATGCTGAAAATTCAGATATAACAAAGAAAAGCCAAAAGTGCTTTCTTCAAGTGAAAAGGCACAAGTTCTTGACTCAACAAGGAAGGACAAAAATCATATGCTGAGGTTGCCAAGATCTCTGGTAAGAATGAATCTCTTATCAGTGCAGTAGTGAAGAAAGTGAAAGAACTTTATGCACAGTCCATATAGGGTTTAGTGCTCTTGTGCCATATTCCATCTTGCTTACCCATGAGGTCCAGCCACACTGTCCCCCTCAGATGTTCCTAGAACACATCCAACCTGCTTGCATCTCAGAGTATTTGAGCTTGTCCCCCTCTGCTTGAATCATTCTTATTCCAGAGACACAAAAGACTTGTTTTCTCACTTCCTTCAGTTTTTAACTTATGCATCCTCTGGTAAAGTAGGCTTTTTCTCAACAACTTGTATCAGGCCTGCTCTATTCTCCTCACCCTGCTTTACTTTTCTTTGTAGGACTAATAATCATTTGATATATATTTTCTCATATATATACCTTTTTCTCCCATTAGAATGTAAATTCCTTGAGAGCAATAGGTTTTGTGCAATGATATATCCTCAAGTATTCTTTATTTACTGCTACACGTATTAGTTCCTATTGTCGTTGTAACATATTTCCCCAAACATAGTAGCTTAAAAGAACAGCAACAAATTATCTTACAGCAGTGAGGGGCCAAAGTCCAATATCATTTTCACTCACCTAAAATCCAGGTGTTTGCAGGCCTCCATTCCTTCTAGAGATTCCAGGGGATAATCCATTTCTTTGCCTTTTTAAGTTCCTAGAGGCTGCCCACATCTCCTGGTCCATGGGGCTTCCTCCATCTTCAAAGGTGATAATAGCCAGTCAAGTCCTTCTCTCGCTTCCTTATCCTAACACTTCTTGTATAATCAAGTCTCCTACTACTCTGCCTCCTTCCCTAGTATAAAGATCTTTGTGATTATATTGAACTCACGCATATAATCCAGGATTGTCTCCCCATTTACAATCTTTAACTTCGCCTATAATCCCAGCACTTTAGGAGGCCGATGGATCACTTGAGGTCGGGAGTTTGAGACCAGCCTGGCCAACATGGTGAAACCCCATCTCTACTAAAAATTTAGAAAACTAGCTGGGCATGGTGATGGGAACCTGTAATCCCAGCTACTTAGGAGGCTGAGGCAGAAGAATCTTCTGAACCCTGGAGGCAGAGGTGGCAGTGAGCCAAGATCACGCCATGGCACTCCAGCCTGGGCAACAAGAGCGAAACTCCATCTAAAAAAAAAAAAAAAAAAAAATCTTTATTGCATCTGCAAATTCCGCATGAAGTAACGTATTCAAAGATTCCAGAGATTAGAATGTGGACATCTTTGAGTGGGGAAATTATTAATCTCTCAACACTATATAATAATTTATGCAAAAACTTAGCAGCTTAAAACAAAACTATTCACTATCACATATATTTTCTGATGGTCAGGAATCTAGACGAAGCTTAGCTGGGTCGATCTGGCACAGTATCTCATGAGGGTGCAGTCCAGCTGTCAGCCAAGGTTGCCTTCATCTATAACTTTACTAATCCACTTCCAAACTCACACACAGTTGTTGGCAGACATCTGTTTCTCACCATAGGCAGGACATAGCTCTGCGTACAACATGACAGCTGGCTTCCCCTCAAGTGATTGATTGAAGAGAAAGGATGACTTTGCAGAAGATTTAACATAGCAGTTCTAAGACTGCAATCCTTAGAAAGGCCTGCCTGGAAGTTTTGGTCCATGGCTGGCATTTGGAAATGTGACTGCTAATCAGTTCTCTATACTACGATGACTTTTTACATAAATGATAAGTACTAGACCAGATCGGGCACGTTCAGGGTGGTATGGCCGTAGCTGGCCCACCTTGGTCATATGCCCTAGAGCCAGGGGATAGGATCAGCACCTCTAGAACCAAATGAAGTGAGAAACTTAGAAGAGTGTTTCCCAAAAGGAAAATAAAGAAAGAGAAAATGATAAGTACCGGTAGCTTATTGTGCCTAAAACTGTTTGTGTAAACAGTATGGTTTATGCTGAACACCTGCTTTCCTTCTGGATATCTGGAATTTAGGTGTTAGTTAGAGACTGCCTGTGTCCCCAGCCTACAATGAAAACCTTACATACTGAATCTTTCCTCGTAGTGAACACTCATGTGTTGTCACAGTTCATTGCAGGAAGAAGTAAGTATGTCCTGTGTGACTCTACTAGGAGACAACTCTTGAAAATTTGCACCTGGTTTCTTTAAGCCTTCATCCCATGGCCTTTTTTTCTTTACTAATTTTGCTGCGTGTTATTTTGCTTTGATAAATCTTAGCCATAAATACAACTGTATACTGAGTCCTGTGAGTTCTTCTACTGAATAAGCAAATCTGGAGCCAGTTTTAGAGACCTCTGACATAGTAACAATGATGGAAGCACCAGTATCTTATATAACCTAATCCTGGAAGTGACACACCAAGACTTCTGCCATATACTATTGGTTGCACAGATCGATTCTGATGCTTTGAGGGACAGGAGTGTGAATACCAGGAGCCAGGTAGGGATCACTGGGAACCATCTTGGAGGCTGCTATGGGAAATGCAGCCTTTCATTTAGCAAATTTTAAATAAAGCATTAGTAAAGTTACCATACATACTAGTTTGCTGCAGTAGTTCTGGCTTACAAACATTTTCTTCCATTCATGATAGTGTCCTATAAAACCTCCATTAAAAAACTATGAAGTCCAATTTATCTATTTTTAAAAATTTTATTGCTTGTGCTTTTTTGGGGTCATATATAAGAATCCATTTCCAATTCTGAAGTAATGAACTTTTTTGTTTCTGCTAATAATTTTATAGTTCATACTTTTAGGTAATTTTATAGTTTATACTTTTAAAATTTCATTTCCCTATGTTTTCTAATGGCAATACAGTAATAGAATAAATTTGGGGGTACTGATTTAGTATGCCACAAACTTGCTAGAAGTATAAATTATAAGTATAGCTTATACTTTTGTTTTCTTCCAGTAATTTTATAGCTTATACATTTAGGTCTTTGATCCACTTGGAGTAAATTTTTAGACACGGTGTAAAGTAAGAGCCTGACTTTTGTCTTCGGCATATGGCTATCTAGTTGTCCCAGGCCCATTAATTGGAAAGGCTCTTTTTTCCCATTAAATTGTCTTAGTTGATCATCAAAATATGGGCTTATTTCTGGACTCTCAATTCTATTTCATTGATCTGTATGTCTATCCTTGTGCTTGTACCACACCCTATTGATTATTGTTGCCTGGTAGTACTTTTAAAATGGGTACCTACATGCCCCCAACTTGGTTTTTTAGTTTTCATGGTATGCACTTACACTTCCTTTGTTAAATTTATTTTTCAAAAGTGTTTTATTCTCTTTGATATTATTGAAAATGGATTTTAAAGGCTGGGTGTGGTGGCACATGCCTGTAATCCCAGCACTCTGGGAGGCCGAGGCGGGCAGATCACGAGGTCAGAAGATCAAGACCATCCTGGCTAACATGGTGAAACCCCGTCTCTACGAAAACTACAAAAAAAAATTAGCCAGGCATGGTGGTGCATGCCTGTAGTCCCAGCTACTTGGGAGGCTGAGGCAGGAGAATCACATGAACCCAGGGGGCAGAAATTGTAGTGAGCTGAGATCGCGCCACTGCACTTCACCCTAGGAGACAGAGTAAGACTCCGTCTCAAAAGAAGAAAAGAAAAAAAATGGATTTTAAAAGTTTTATTTTGTATTGTTCATTGCAATTATATGAAAACATAATTGATTTTTGTATATTAATTTTGTATCCATCAAACTTGATAGCCATGTCTCACTTTGTGCTCATTTGCTGTCCTCGCTGTGCATTCACCTTAAGGCATGTTCATGGTAAAAAAACAAAAAAACGTTCAGCAACCACTTTATTAAATATATGAGTAGTTATTTATTTTTTTCTTTAATGTTATAAATGTTGGCTATAACATTATAATGTTGTAATGTTTTAAAATTTCATTTCCCTATGTTTTCTAATGGGAATACAGTAATAGAATAAATTTGGGGGTACTGATTTAGTATGCCACAAACTTACTAAACTTTCTTATTGGTTCTATGAATTACTTTGTACATTATTCTGGATTTTCTACTTACCCAATCATGGTATCTGTGAGAAAACATTTTTATTTTCTCCATTACAATTTTCTCTATTGAACTCACTTCCAGTAAAATATTAAATAGAAGTAGTAGAAACAAATATATTTATCTTATTTCCAACTTCAAAGACAAAGCATTACATTTTACAACACATCATGTGATGTTAGCTATGGATGTTTTTGCAATTATTCCTTATAAGGATATTTTCTATTTCAGTTTGCTGAGAGTTTTGTCATGAGTAGGTGATAAATTTTGTCAAATCCATTTCTCTACAACTTCTAAGATAATCATATAAATTTTCTTCTAAAATCTGCTAATGTGATGATGTTCATTTTTTAAAGTTAAACCAACCACTTTGTCATGCTGAAGAATCATTTTAATACAGATTTCCACTGTCATTCATTTGATAATACTTTTGTTAAACATTTTTACACATATGTTAATGGGATTTTTTTCATTGTTTTTCTTATACTTAACTGGTTTTGGTTTAATGTTACACTGGCCTCAAAAAACAAGTCAAGATGTGTTACATCTTTTCTTGTTTATGGAAAGTATGACTTTCTGTATTTCCTAATATATTCTCATACATTTATATATATACACACACACATACACTTTCACCTCATCCCATCTATCCAAACCTTTTCCCTGAACGTTCTTGAATATATCATCTCACAATAGAAAATGTCCTTAAATTTAACTTTGAAACTTCTCCTCCCCTTCTTGTACATAAAAACTGTTTCTATCATGAGGATAGTTTTTACTGAAGGCTTCTCCAACACTGATTATTTTTATAACCACATCCCTCATATCAATGTTGCTTAAGGAAGTATAATTGTTTCTTATTTCTAATTTGAGCATCATCCTTCCATAGCTCCTCCCCAGTAAAGAAAAAAAAAAGATCCAGGAACATGACACATTTCTGGGAGCAGCATTAAAGCCTAGGTTGTCAGACTATTACACCTGTTTCACTTGTTGTAATCTTCATCATAAGATAAAACACATAAATATAACAAAATTCATTATGTCAGAACTTTCCTCATAACCTTTGCATGGATCCCACTTGCCTGCAGAACATTCTACATAATTTTCAATCATAGATTTCACATTCCTCATAATTTGGCCCTAGCCTAACTTGTTAATAGTATCTCAATAGTAACTTAGAGCAGATTTATTTTATTGCTCTAAACACATGTAACAGTAATATATCCTTATGCCATTTACCAGTGTTCCAGATAGAGCATGTTAGCCAATTAAACTTATGAACAAGTTTTAAAGAGAAATTAAGCAATTTTATGTTAAGCTCTAAGCATGTTACGTGAACCAAAAAAAAAAAAATAAAAATACATATGTATACATATAAGTGTATGTATGTAAATAAGTATGTGTGTGTGTGTGTGTGTGTGTGTGTGTGTATACACACACAGGGTGGGGTAAGGGAAAGAGATGAAATTTTACAATTTGGGTCCAATATATGGATACCTGTTTGTTTATAGGCTTATAATTTATTGACTTATCTAAACAGAGAAGAATATCCACATTGTCTTATATAGCAAGGAAGAAAATTAATAGCAAAAAGACTGTGAAAAAAATCTTTCACTCAGCTACATTATTTCAATACAAAGTTCATGTTTATAAAACTCTGACTTAAGTTCATTAGTCCCCACTTACTGGCAGTTTTGCTTTCTATGGTTTCAGATATCAGCAGTTAACCATAGTCCAAAAATATTAATATGTCACCCAATAAATCTGGGAACACATTTTTAAACACCTAATTTATCAAATTTGCTTCTTTTCCTTTAAAATTGTTTACATTGAATACTATTGAAGTCTATGCCATAAATATCAGAGTTGTTAGATATTTACATTGAATACTATTGAAGTCTATACCATATAAAAATATCAGAGTTGTTAGATTTTTATCAATTTATGTAGAAAATGCCAAGAATATATTAAAATTTACCCATGCCAGTAACATATGTTTTCCAATTTTTTTTTACTTCTTCAGTGATGCTTATCTTTTCTTTTGAAATTATTATTTTGTTTTATTCACCTCAATAGATAAATATTTGTGGTATTTTGACGCTGGATATTCTGTAGTGGGTAAAAATCCTGTTTTATATCAGTATTAGTTTTTTCCAACTATTCAGTTTTGCACATGATACTTATTTTCGCTAGGCTTCCATCTCCTCATCTGCAAATTGAAGCTAGCACACAAAGTAGACATGATTGTTCTAAAAATTAAGTGAGATAATATATACATAGACCTACTACAATGTTGGTTGGCACAAAGAAGGCCCCATCTCATAGAAAAATCTTATTCTTATCACCATTATTTTGACTCTTTTTTATAGTTTACCAGTAAAATTGTTCCTATCGCACTTGACCAATTATTGCACACTTGAATTTATTCTGCATATTGCCTCAAATCAAATGTATAATGACGTATGGAATAAGATAAACTGGTTCAAATAAGTCACCAACAGTACACATGTATTTTCATATCTATTACTACAAAAACCCTATAGTAATCAACAAACTTCAAATTAAAATCTAGCTCTTTTAAAAGAATAAAACTATATATTTGGCTCATTAACTTCTTGCAAAAAAAAAGGCTGAGTAAATGGCATTGTTTAACATTATAAACTCTGCTGTTTTTCCTCTTATATACCTTTGTATGAATCCTTGGTGGCTAAATGCAGAATACGCACAGGCAGAGCGGTTAGAAATTTGTTTTATTCCAGTTATTTGCATCACCATTTCCTCCACTGACAGATAATGGAAGTTGACCATTTTATGACATTTATCTGATTCTATTATCACCTAATACTTTCAAATCTAACTGAATATCATTTCGTTGGCAGCAATAATATCTGATAGGGCATCCTTTTCTATCGATTCTGTGTCCCAATTTTTCATATTTTATATCGTGGCAAAGCTGAATTGTGTCATCTTTTCTGCATTCCAATAACTTGAAAATTATTATTAATGATCTTGATATTCACAATATTTTTACCTACTGCATCATAGGGGACAGAGATGGATATGTTTATATTGTCATCAATTTCTGAAGGAGGTTCCCATCTGACTGCAGTAATTCAGGCAATATTATAAAACTGTTTGTGCTTTTTCAAATTACATAGAATTCAAGCTTGTTCTTTTCCAATGCACAACTACTTGGATGGCATTTGAGAAGATTCCACTTGCTGCAATATATTTCTTGCTCCTTAGAACAATATTTGCTTGCTGAAATGTTTATCCTACATGCTAAAATTACAGTTTTTATTCATTGAGTTATTCCTTTTCCATGTTCAGCTCTGCACTTTGAATCTTGGGCCCTATATATCCTTGACTTCCAAATGGTAGAGTGATCATAAAATTTGCTCTGGAATAAAATAT
Source organism: Homo sapiens (assembly GCF_000001405.40). Classification (NCBI taxonomy): domain Eukaryota; kingdom Metazoa; phylum Chordata; class Mammalia; order Primates; family Hominidae; genus Homo; species Homo sapiens. Next base: position 116,237,063 of record NC_000002.12, on the reverse strand, counting down.
GGCAATACTATACACTTTTATGTTTCAGAGTTACTTTCTAATGGAATAAAACTGGTTGTTAATTTGCTTTCCATCATCTGTTCCTTTAGTAAGCTAACCTACACCATTCCCTCATCCTTAAACCTTTTTTTTTTTTTTTTAAATATCCTGGGAAAGGTCACAAAGTAGCCATCTGGGGTGCTAAGGATATTCTCTTTTTTTTTTTTATTATACTTTAAGTTCTGGGGTACATGTGCAGAAAGTGCAGGGTTGTTACAAAGGTATGCATGTACCATGGTGGTTTGCTGCACCCATCAACCTGTCATCTGTATTAGGTATTTCTCCTAATGGTACCCTCCCCTAGCTCCCCCATCCCCCCGGACAGGCCTTGGTTTGTGATGTTCCTCTCCCTGCGCTCATGTGTTCCCATTGTTCAACTCTCACTTATGAGTGAGAACACGTAGCGTTTGGTTTTCTGTTCTTGTGTTAGTTTGCTGAGAATGTTGGTTTCCAGCTTCATCCATGTCCCTGCAAAGGACATGAACTCATCCTTTTTTATGGTTGCATAGTATTCCATGGTGTATATATGCCACAGTTTCTTTATCCAGTTTATCATTGATGGGCATTTGGGTTGGTTCCAAGTCTTTGCTATTGTGAATAGTGCTGCAATAAACATACGTGTGCATGTGTCTTTAGAGTAGAGTGATTTATAATCCTTTGGGTATATACCCAGTAATGAGATTCCTGGGTCAAATGGTATTTCTGGTTCTAGATCCTTGAGGAATCGCCACACTGTCTTCCACAATGGTTGAACTAATTTACACTCCTACCAACAGTGTAAAAGTGTTCCTATTCCTCCACATCCTCTCCAGCATCTGTTGTTTTCCTGACTTTTTAATGATCACCATTCTAACTGGCATGAAGTAGTATCTCATTGTGGTTTTGATTTGCATTTCTCTAATGACCAGTGATAAGCTTTTTTTCATAGGCTTATTGGCTGCATAAATGTCTCCTTTTGCGAAGTGTCTGTTCATATCCTTCACCCACTTTTTGATTTTTTTTTTCTTGTAAATTTGTTTAAGTTCTTTGTAGATGCTGGATATTGGCCCTTTGTCAGATGGATAGATTTAAAAAATTTTCTCCCATTCTGTAGGTTGCCTATTCACTCTGATGATAGTTTCTTTTGCTGTGCAGAAGCTCTTTAGTTTAGTTAGATCTCATTTGTCTATTTTGGCTTTTCTTGCCATTGCTTTTGGTGTTATAAGCATGGGCAAAGACTTCATGACTAAATCCTGAATTTTATTGCCTAGGGTTTGTATAAGGTGTGAGGAAGGGGTCCAGTTTCAGTTTTCTGCATATGGGTAGCCAGTTTTCCCAACACCATTTATTAAATAGAGAATCCTTTCCCCATTGCTTGTTTTTGTCAGGTTTGTCAAAGATCAGATGGTTGTAGATGTGTGGTGTTATTTCTGAGGACTCTGTTCTGTTCCATTGGTCTATATCTCTGTTTTGGTACCAGTACCGTGCTGTTTTGGTTGCTGTAGCCTTGTTGTACAGTTTGAAGTCAGGTAGTGTGATGCTCCAGGTTTGTTCTTGTTGCTTAGGATTGTCTTGGCTATGCAGGCTCTTTTTTAGTTCCATATGAAATTTAAAGTAGTTTTTTCTAATTCTGTGAAGAGAGTCAATGGTAGCTTGATGGGGATAGCATTGAATCTATAAATTACTTTGGGCAGTATGGACATTTTCACGATATTGATTCTTCCTATTCATGAGCATAGAATGTTTTTCCATTTGTTTGTGTCCTCTCTTATTTCCTTGAGCAGTGGTTTGTAGTTCTCCTTGAAGAGGTCCTTCACATCCCTTGTAAGTTATATTCCTAGGTATTTAATTCTCTTTGTAGCAATTGTGAATGGGAGTTAACTCATGATTTGGCTTTCTGTTTGTCTATTATTGGTGTATAAGAATGCTTGTGATTTTTGCACATTGATTTTGTATCCTGAGACTTTGCTGAATTTACTTATCAGCTTAAGGAGATTTTGGGCTGAGATGATGTGGTTTTTCAAATATACAATCATGTCTTCTGCAAACAGAGACAATTTGACTTCCTCTTTTCTTATTTGAGTACCCTTTCTTTCTCTTGCCTGATTGCCCTGGCCAGAACTTCCAATACTATGTTGAATAGGAGTGGTGAGAGAGGGCATACTTGTCTTATACTGGTTTTCAACAGGAATGCTTCCAGTTTTTGCCCATTCAGTACGATATTGGCTGAGGGTTTGTCATAAATAGCTCTTAATATTTTGAGATACGTTCCATCAATACCTAGTTTATTGAGAGTTTTTTAGCATGAAGAGTTGTTGAATTTTGTCAAAGGCCTTTTCTGCATCTATTGAGATAATCATATGTTTTTTGTCATTGGTTCAATTTCTGTGACGGAGTACATTTATTGATTTGCATTTGCTGAACCAGCCTTGCATCCCAGGGATGAAGCCAACTTGATCATGGTGGATAAGCTTTTTGTTGTGCTGCTGGATTTGTTTTGCCAATATTTTATTGAGGATTTCGCATTGATCTTCAGGGATATTGGCCTGAAATTTTCTTTTTTTGTCGTGTCTCTGCTAGGCTTTTGTATCAGGATGATGCTGGCCTCATAAAATGAGTTAGGGAGGGTTCCTTCTTTTTCTATTGTGAATAGTGCTGCAATAAACATACGCGTGCATGTGTCTTTATAGTAGAGTGATTTATAATACTCTACTATTGTTAGGAATGGTACCAGCTCCTCTTTGTACCTCTGGTAGAATTTGTCTGTGAATCCTTCTGGTCCTGGACTTTTTTTGGTTGGTAGGCTATTAATTATTGCCTCAATTTCAGAACTTATTATTGGTCTATTCAGGGTTTCAACTTCTTCCGGTTTAGACTTGGGAGGGTGTATGTGTCCAGGAATTTGTCTATTTCTTCTACTTTATTTGCATAGAAGTGTTTATAGTATTCTCTGATGGTAGTTTATATTTCTGTAAACTTTTTCTTAATGCTGCTCTTTTTGCTTAAGTCTTGAATGCAGTAATACCTCAAATATATTACAGGTTCAGTTCCAGACCCCTGCAATAAAGCAAGTTACACACATTTTTGATTTCCTAGTGCATATAAATATTACCTTTACACTATAATATAGTCTTTACACTATAATATAGTCCATTAAGTGTGCAATAGTATTGTGTTTTTAATAAAACAATGTATATACCTGAATTAAAAATTCTTTGTTGCTAAAAATGCTAATAATAATCTGAGCCTTCAGTGAGCTATAATCTTTTTGCTGGTGGAGGGTCTTGCATCGATACTGGTGGTTGCTGACTGTGTTGATCATGGTGATAGTTTCTGAAGATTCAGATAGCTGTGGCAATTTCTTAAAATAAGAAAAAATGGAATTTTGCCACATCAACTGACCGTTTCATGAGAGATTTCTCTATAGCATGCAATTCTGTTTGATAGCATTTACCCACAGTAGAACTTCTATCAAAATTGGATTCAATTATCTCCAACCCTACAACTGCTTGATCAACTAAGTTTATGTAACATTCAGAATAATTTGTTGTCTTTTTAACTGTGCTCTTCTGACCTCCCATGGAACATGAATGATCTTAATGGCACCTACAATGGTGAATTCTTTCCAGAAGGTTTTCAATTTCCTTTTTCTAGATCCATTAAATAAATCACCATCTATGGCAGCTAAAGGCTTATGAAATGCATTTCTTAAATAAGAAGACTTGAAAATTGAAATTACTTTTTGATCCAGAGTGGATGTTTTGTTAATTGGCATGAAATCAACATTAATCTCTTTGCATACCTCCCTGAGAGTTCTTGGGTAACCAGATAAATTATTTGAAAGGAATCTTATTTTTTGAGCAGTAGGTCTCAATAATGTGCTTAAAGCAATCAAACCATGCTATAGACAGATTCCCTGTCATTCAGGCTTTGTCGTTCCATTTCAAGAGCATAGCAGAGTAGATTTAGCATAACTATTAAAGGGCTTAGGCATTTCAGAATAGCAAATGAACACTGGCTTCAACTTCTAGTCACTCACTGCATTAATCCCTAACTACAGAGTCAGACTGTCCTTTGAAGCTTTGAAGCCAAGCATTGAATTCTTCACTTCTAGTTAGTCCTAGGTGATATCACTTTTAAATATAAGGCTTTTTTGTCTGCATTGAAAATCTGTTGCTTAGTATAGCTACCTTTATCGATGATCTCAGCTAGATCTTCTGCGTAACTTGCTGAAGCCTCTACATTAGCACTTGCTTCTTCATCTTGTACTTTAATGTTATAGAGATGACTTCTTTCTTTACACCGCATGAACCAACCTCTGCTAGCTTCTAAGTTTCTTCTTCAGCTTTCTCACCTCTGAACTTTTATAGAAGTCAAGAGAGTTAGGGCCTCGTTCTGAATTAGGCTTTGGCTTAAGGGAATGCTGTGGCTGGTTTGACCTTTATATCCAGTTCCCTAAGACTTTCTCCATATCAGCAATGAGGAATCGCCACACTGTCTTCCACAATGGTTGAACTAATTTTACACTCCCACTAACAGTGTAAAAACATTTCTGTTTCTCCATAGCCTTGCCAGAATCTGGTATTTTTTGAATTTTTAATAATATCTATTCTGACTGGTATGAGATGTCATCTCATTTTTATTTTGATTTACATTTCTGTAATGAGTGATGTGGAATGTTTTTTCACATGCTAGCTGGCTGCATGTATGTAATAAAAGATGTATGTCATCTTTGAGAGGTGTATGTTCATGACCTTTTGCCCATTTTTTAATGGGGTTGTTTGGTTTTGCTTGTTAATTTGTTTGTTTCTAATAGATTCTGGATATCAGACTTTTGTTTGATGTATAGTTTGTGAATTTTTTCTTCCCATTCTGTAGATTGTCTGTTTACTCTGATGATGTATATCACTGTGCAGAAGCTCTTTAATTAGGTCCCATTTATCAATTTTTGTTTTTATTGCAATTGCTTTTGGAGTCTTCATCATGAAATCTTTGTCAGGGACCTATGTGCACAATAGTATTTTCTAAGTTTTCCTCTAGGGTTTTCATAGTTTTCAGTTTTGCATTTAAGTCTTTAACCTATCATAAGTTGATTTTTGTATATGGTGAAAGAAAGGGGTCCAGTTTGAATTTCCTGTATATATTTGGCTAGCCAGTAATCCCAGCAACATATATTGAATATGGAGTCATTTTCCCATTGCTTGACTTTGTTGACTTTGTCAAATATCAGAGGGTTGTAAGTGTGTAGCTTTATTTCTGGGTTCCCTAACCTGTTCCATTCGTCTATGTGTCTGTTTTTGTACCAGTACCATGCTGTTTGGGTTATGGTAGCCTTGTAGTATAGTTTGAAGTTGAGTAGCTTGATGATTCTGGCTTTGTCCTCTTTGCTTAGTATTACTTTGGCTGTTTTGGTTTCACGTGATTTATTTCTATATTTCATTTTTTTGAGATGGTGTCTTGCACTGTCACACAGACCACAGGCTTTTGTCTAGTGGCAAAATCAGGTTCATGCAATCCTCCCACTTCAGACTCCCAAGTAGATGGGACTACAGGTGCAAGCTACCACACTCAACTATTTTTTTTAATTTTGTAAATATTGAGTTTCACCATGCTGCCAAGGCTAGTCTCAAACTCCTGAGCTGAAGCTATCCTCCTACCTTGGCTTTCCAAAGTGCTGGGATTACAGGTGTGAACCACCACACACCTAGCACTATATGAATTTCAGAATCTTTTTTTCTAATTCTATGAAAAATGCCATTGGTCATTTGATAGGAATAGCATTAAATCTGTAAATTGTTTTTGGCACTATGGCCAAATTCCAGTAGAATGTAGCTGTGAATCTGTCTGGTCCAGGGTTTTTTCTTGTTGATAGGCTTTTTTTTTTTTTTTTTTTTTTTGACTGATTCAATTTTGGAACTCATTATTGGCCCATTCAGGGATTCAATTTCTTCCTGGTTACCTCTTGGGAGGGTGTATGTTTCCAGGAATACATCCATTTCTTCAAGGTTTTCCAGTTCGTGTGCACAGAATTGTTCATAATAGCATCTGAGGGTTTTTATATTTATGTAGAGTTGGTGGTAATGTCCCCTTTGTCGTTTATGATTGTGTTTCTTTGGATGTTTTTTTCTTTATTAGTCGCACTAGCAGTCTATCATCAATCTTCTTTAAGAACCAACTTGGCCAGGCGCAATGGGTCATGCCTGTAATCCCAGTACTTTGGGAGGCCGAGGCAGGTGGATCACCTGAGGTCAGGATTCTGCGACCAGCCTGGCCAACATGGTGACACCCTGTCTCTACTAAAAATACAAAACAATTAGCCAGGCGTGGTTGCAGGTGCCTGTAATCCCAGCTACTCAGGAGGCTGAGGCAGGAGAATCGCTTGAACCTGGGAGAAGGAGGTTGCAATGAGCCAAGATTGCACCAGTGTTCTCCAGTCTGGGCAACAAGAGCGAAACTGTCTCAAAAAAAGAACCAACTGTTGGTTTCATTGATCTTTGTGTGATTTTTTCATTTCTTAATTTTGTCGAGTTCAACCCTGATTTTGGCTATTTATTTTCTCCTGCCAGCTTTGGGATTGGTTTGCTCTTTTTCCCCCCAGGTTTTCTAGATATAATGTTAGATTGTTAATTTGAGATCTTTCTAACTTTTTGATGTGGACTTTTAGTGCCATGAACTTTCCTGTTAACACTGCTTTAGCTGTGTTCCAGAGATTGTGCTATGTTGCATCTTTGTTTTCATTAGTTTAAATGTTTTTCTTTTAATTTCTGTCTTAATTTCATTATTTACCCTAAAGTCATTCAGGACAAGCACACTTAATTTCTACGTAGTTGTATGGTTCTGAGAGATCTTCTTGGTATTCATGTGTTTTTACTGTTCTGTGATCTGAGAGTGTGGTCGGTATGATTTCAGTTCTTTTGAATTTGTTGAGAATTGCCTTATGGCCGAGCATGTTGTTGATTTTAGAGTCTGGGCCATGTATAGATGAGAATACCAACTTGTGGTTGATGGGTGGAGGGCTCTGTAGATGTCTGTTAGGATCACTTGGTCAAATGTTAAGTTTAGGTTTCAGATTTTCTTCTTTCTCTTCCTCAGTGATCTGTCAAATAACGTCCATGGGGTGTTGAGGTCTCCCACTATTATTGTGTGGTTATCTAAGCCTGTTCACAGGTTTCTGAGAACTTGTTTTATGAATCTTTGTGTTAGGTACATATATATATTTAGGATAGCTAAGGCTTCTTATTGAATAAAACCTGTCATCATTAGGTAATGTCCTTCTTTGTCGTTTCTGATCATTGTTGTTTTAAAATTGGTTTGTATGAAATAAGAAGAGCAGCTTCTGATCTTTTTTGTTTTCTACTGGCTTGATAGAGAAAATAACTCTTTCACTGTAAAAACGGTACATGCTCATTACAAGATCTTTATAATATGCAGGAGCAAAAAGAAGAAACAAATCAACCTGCATTTCATTACCAACTACCTATAGCTACAAATTCAATGTGTAATTTTTTCTGTGCAGATAGACAGAATATGAAATTAACTTTCATTTGAATTTCCCTTGAGTTAAACAAAATTCTCAAATATCAAACCTGGGCTACTACAATGTTCATCAAAGTGGTCTTCAACATTCTGCAGTTCCCACACAGCCACAATAGTAATAGTTTTCAAAAGGAAATTAGGTATTTTTATCTTATATAAAATATGTCTGAGGTTTCTCATCACTATTATAAACTTCAAAACATTCCTTGGCCCATAAGACCCTATAAATCTGGCGCCCTCTATCTCTTTGATTTTTCCCTTTTCATTTTCTCATATCCTACTATAACCTAGAATCACTAAAACTCCCTTTTGTCTCTTTTTTAAATTTATTTTTATGGATGCATAATACATGTACATAGTTTTTGGATACATGTAATAATTTATTTGTATAATTTGAAAGATCATATTAGTGAAAGATCATCACCTTAAACATTTATCTTTATGCTGGAAAGATTCAAATTATTCCTCTTTGGCTATTTTGAAATCTGCAATAGATAACTGTAGTCACTCAATTTATCTAACAATAGGTCTTATTTCTTCTGCCAAACCATATATTTGTACCTTTAATCAACTTCTATTCAACATTTTCCCTCCCCACTACCCTTTCTGGCTTCTGGTAACTACCCATCTACTCACTATCTTCATGTTCTATTCAACGCTCCCCCTCCCCACTACCCTTTCTGGCTTCTGGTAACCACCCATCTACTCTCTATCTTCATGTGATCCACATTTTTAGCTCCCACATATGAGTGAAAACATGTGATATTTGTCTTTCTGTGCTTAATGGCCTTGATACATTTCTTTTTCTGGGTGTCTTAGGGTCTTTGCAGTTTGCATTCCCTAAGCCTCCCATACTATTGCTCTGCATATTTACCTGTTTCCGTAGGTCTCAGAGTAAATATTTCCCCAAAATAGCCCTTTTACCACCTTACCAAAAGAACTGTGTCTAAAATAACCCTTTTATTACATTCCTCTTTTTTTCAATAATGTATTCATTTTGTTTTTGTCTTCTCCTGCTCCAATACAATCTAAGCTTTATAAAAGAAGAGACAACTGTTGCTCTTACTACTATATCTATAGTCCCCAGCACAGTTCCTGGCATATCGTAATTATTTTAATGTGTTGAATAAACAAATGACTAAAAATATATCTGACATCTGGGGAAGATAAAAGTAGCCAAGTAGAAGAAAAAGAGCTATAATCCGATCTTATAATTGGGTGAATGTTGCCTAAAAACCTGTGTGGTTACATAGATCAGTAGATAAACACACAGTGCTAAAACTGTTTTGACCCTTGTTGAGATTTAACCTCTCTAGTAATGTTTAACTGGTTGCTGGTAGCTTGGACTACAGGCGTGCACCACCACGTTTTAAAAAATTGTTAATTGATGTTCTATTTATATTTTACTATAATAGTCAGTGTATTACCTGTAACTTACCTCAAATCCTCTGTGAACTAAACAGGGAAAAAAGAGGTAAGGAGATGACTGACAACCTGGAAGGAATGGAAACTGTCAATAAATGGCTTTGTCAGTCATCCATTATTGTTATGTTTAGAAAAAAAAGTTATCAGTATAAAATACGCTGTTATAACGTTAAGAAGTTTTATGCTATTGTAATTGTGACCAAAAAGAAAATATATATAGAATAAACACAAAGAGAAGTGATAAAGGAATCAAAACACATCATTACAAAAAAAATCAACAAAACATAAAAGAAGGCAGTGAGAAAGGAGGCACAAAAAAGCGACAAAACATACAGAAAACAATTAACAAAATGACAACAGTCCTTGACTATCAGTAATTACTATAAATAAATACTCAAATTTGGTTAAAAATCCTATTAAAATACATTGCTAAAAGAAACCAAAAATACACATAAGTAGAAAGCCATTCTGTGTTTATAGATTAGAAGACTTTATATTGTTAAAATGTCTGTACTACCTAGTTATCTACAGATGCAATTGCTATCAAAATCTCAATGGCAATTTTTTTTTCTTTTTTTGATGGAGACCCGCTCCGTCACCAGGCTGGAGTGCAGTGGCGTGATCTCGCTTCACTGCAACCTCCACCTCCCAGGTTCAAGCGATTCTCTTGCCTCAGCCTCCTGAGTAGCTGGGACTACAGGCACACACCACCATGCTCAGCTAATTTTTATATTTTTAGTAGAGATGAGATTTCACCATGTTGGGCAGGATGGTCTCGACCTCATGATCTGCCTGCCTCAGCCTCCCAAAGTGCTGGGATTGCGGGCTTGAACCACCATGTGCAGCTGGCAATTTTTTTTAAGAAATAGAAAGTAGCACCAACACTTACAGGAAATTTCAATTTTAAGAGATCCCACATAGCCAAAATAGTACTAAAAAATACGGACTTCTTACATTTCCTAATTTCAAAACATACTATAAGCAATGGATCTCAAGATAGTGTGTCACTGGCATATAGACCAATATAGAGGTCAATGGAACAAAACAGAGCACCTAGAAATAAACCCTTACATATATAGCCAAAGGATCTTTGACAAGGGACCAAGACTACATAATGGGGAACTGTCAGTATTTCTGTGAAAAAAATGGTTTTGAGAAAATTGGATCTCCATATGAAAAAGAATAAATTTAGACCCTTACCTAACACCATATACAAAAATTAACTGAAAATGAATTAAAAACCTAAACTTAAGACCAAAAACTATCAAACTCCTAGGAGAAAACATAGGGGAAAACATCAGACTGTTAGATTTGGCAATGATTTCTTGGGTAGGGTATGAAAAGCACAGGCAGCCAAAACAAAAGTAGACAAATAAGACTACATCAAACTTAAAAATTCTATCACACGAAGTAGTAAATAAAGTGAAAAGGCAATCTATGGAATGGGAGAAAATATTTGCAAATCCTGTGTATGATAAAGGATCAATATTAAGAGTATGTGAGTAGCTTCTACAACTCAACAGCAGCAACAACAACAAAAATAACCCAATTAAAAAATGATGAAAAGACTTCAATACACAGTTGCCCAATGAAGATATACATATGACCAACAAGCATATGAAAAAATGTTCAACATCACTCATCATAAAGTAAAAGCAAATAAAAACCACAATGAGATTTCATAGCTTCAGCTCCATTAGGATGGCCACTATCAAAACAACAGAAAATAAAAAGTATTGGTGTGGAAAATTGTAATTTTTGTGCACTGTTGGTGGAAATGCAAAATGGTGCAGCCATTTTAGAAAACAACAATGAGGTTCCTTAAAAAATTAAATATAGAATTACCATATTATCTAGCAATCCCACTTCTTGGTATATACACAAATTAAAAGCATGATCTAGAAAAAATATTTTCATACTCATGTTTGCTGCAACATTATTCACAAGAACTAAGAGGTAAAAGCAACCCAAATGTTGATCAACAAATAAGTGGATAAAGACACTGTGTTATGTACATGTGATAGAATATTATGGAGCCTTAAAAAAGGAAGGAAACCCTGTCACATACTACAATGTGAATGAACCTCAAGGATGTTATGCTAAGTGAAATAAGCCATTTACAAAAGGACAGGTAAGGTAATAACAAAAGGGTAGTAGTAATTTCTGGCCTATGAGTTAACTTTATTCAGTGTGTTTTGTAGCTTTATTTGTTCCTCCTTTCTTCTTGTTGCCTGTGTTGACTTTCGTAGTGACATTTTTTTGTTTTGTTTTGTTTTTTTGAGATGGAGTTTCACTCTTGTTGCCCAGGCTGGAGTGCAATGGTGCAATCTCGGCTCACCGCAATCTCCACCTCCCGGGTTCAAGCAATTCTCCTGTCTCAGTCTCCCAAGTAGCGGGGATTACAGGCATGCACCACCGTGCCCGACTAATTTTTTGTATTTTTAGTAGAGATGGGGTTTCTCCATGTTGGTCAGGCTGGTCTTGAACTCCCGACCTCAAGTGATCCACCAGCCTCAGCCTCCCAAAGTGCTGAGATTACAGGCATGAGCCACCGCGCCCGGCCCAACTTTCGTAGTAACATGTTTTGATTCCCTTCTCGTTTATCTTTGTGTTTATTCTACAGATATTTTCTTGTGGTCACCATTGCAATTGCATAAAACATCTTAAAGTGATAACAGTGTATTTTAAACTGATAACTTACCTTCAGTCAATCACAAACGACAAATTTTTTTTGAAAAGATGGTCATGAATGTCTGAGAAAGCCATTTATTGATAATAGCTTCCATTTCTTCTAGGTTGTCAATCATAATATTTTATTCTTCTGCCTTCATTCACAAAGGATTTCAAGTGGCTTACATGTAATTCATGAAATATTATAGTAAAATACAAATAGAACGTCAATTAACATTTTTAAGCCAGCACTAAAGAAATTAAATCTCAAAGTTCAAAATAATCTCACCAGTGTGCATTTATCTACTGATTTATAGAGTCACATTTTCAGGTAACATTCACACAATCATATAGTTGGGTTATAGCTCTTTTTCCCTACTTGGACATGTTAATCTTTCTCAGGTTATAAGCTATGTTTTAGGCCTGGAGCTTCGACCCCTGGGGGTCAGCCCGAAACCAGGGTTCACAGGAGCTGACCTGGCACTGGAGTGGGCCTGGCACCTGGGTCCCCTGGAATGGGACTTGAAGCATTATTCTGCTGGAGCGGTCCTGGATCTGGGTCCTCTGGAGCTTGGTCTACGGGGACAGGCCTGGGGCCTAGGGCCATCCAGGTGCTGGGGCCGGCATAAAGCCTGGGTCCACAGTCTGGAGCTTAGGATCTCAGGGGCTGGCTATGAGTCATAGAGACCGACCTGATTTATCCTGGGTCTGCTAGAGCCTGGGTTACTGGAGCCAGCTGAAGGGTGAAGCCATGATCCATGGGAATTGGATCAACACTGGGCAAGCCTGAAGCTTGTGTTCAGGGATGTCTACATGGTATTTTATACCAGGGATGCTAATCTGGTACTAGGATGATGTGGAGCCTGAGGCCACAAGGGCTGTCCTTGCTTGGTGAGTTTAGATCCTGAATTCAAAGAGATGAGAGAGGAAGATGAGTCTGAAGTTGCCACCTTGATGACTAGGTATGAGGTTGCCAACTTAATGCTAGGATGGCCCTAAAGTCTGGGGCTGAGGTGCTATTCCCAGTTCTTAAGGCAGTCTGAACCCTGGGGCCACTGGAGTCAGTGCCAACCCCAGTGCCAACTGGTAAAGACCTGGAGACCATGTCTACTTGGCAGGCCTGGAGCCTGAGCTGTAGGATTCTGCCTGGAGCTGAGACATGCGTGGCAACTCAGTATGCAGGTCCCACACTGGAGTCTGGGGTCCCAGGTGTTGTCCTGGTCTGGAGAGGTCTGGAGGCGGAGTCCATGTGTCCTAACCTGATGACTACAGTTGCCGTGGGGCTCTACCTAATGCTGAGCTAGGCTTGAAGCCTATGGCTGCAGGGCCAGCCTGTTCTGGGGCAGTCTGGAGCCTAGGGCCACTGGGATTGACCTGCCAGTGGGGTGGCTACACAAGCCTGGAGGCTGAGGCTGTGGAATCCTTGGTGCTTTGTTGGGCTTGGACACTTAGTTTACAGGCTGGGGCCATGGGCGACTATCCACCACTGTCTTTTACTGGGGTGGGTCCAGTTTCAGGGTCTGAGGTGAAATCTGGGCTCATTTTTCCTCCTGTTCTCAATTCAGAGGGTATCTCTCTTCACACTGTGTTGCCTGGGGCTGGAAGAGGGATGATGTGAGTACTGTAAAACAGCCGTTCCTACCCTCTTCAATGCATCTGTTCTCAGTTCCGTGTTACAGCAGGTGCTGTAATCTCCCATCTGAATTCCATAGCTCTTGTGAAGGTATTTGCATTCATAGTAGTTGTTCAAATTGATGTTTCTGCAGGGGCATGACTTGTGGGGAGTCCTCTTCGACCATCTTGCTGATGACCGACCTACATTTAAGTTTTTGAAGAATCTCCAAGCTATTTTCCACAGCAGCTGAAGCATTTTATACCTTCACTAGAAAGGTACTAGGGCTCCAATCGCCCTATATCCTCACTAATGCTTGTTAATTTCCTTTTTTAAAAAATTACCATTCTAGTGCATATAAAATGGTACTTCATTGTGTTTTGATTTGCATCACTAATAACTAATGATGTTGAGTATCTTTGCTTATGTGCTTGTCCATTTATATATCTTCTTTGGAGACATAGCTGTTCAATCCCTTTTCCCACTTTTAATAGAATTTTTTGTCTTTGTATTATTTAGTTATAGGAGTTCTTTATATGTCCTAGATATTAGACCCTTATCAGATGTAAGATTTGAAAATATTTCTATTTTGTAAGTTATCTTTTTACTTTCGTGATAATGTTCTTTGATGCACATTAAAAAAAATTTGGAGGAAGTATAATTTATTTTCCTTTTGTTGCCCAGGCTTTTGGTTTCACATATAAGAATCATTGCCAAATCCAAGGTCATGAAGTGACTCCTGTGTTTTATCTAAGACTTTAATAGTTTTACTTTGAGATATTATATCTAGGTGATTAATCCATGTTGCGTAACTTTTACATATGGTGTGATGTAGTCCGACATCATTATTTTACATGTTGGATACCCAGTTGTCACAATACCATTTTCTGAGAAGACCATTCTGTCTCTCCGTGAATAGTCTTGGCAACTTTGCCAAATATTAAATGACCATAAATATGATTTTTTTTTTCTGGACACTCAATTTGATTCCATGTTTATGTCCATCTTTATGCCAGTACCACAATCTTTTGATTACAGTAGCTTTTTGGTAAGTTTTGAAAAAAATAATGTAAGTTCTTCAAATTTGTTCTTTTTTCAAGACATGTTTTTAGCTATTTGGGAGACTTTGCGACTTCATATGAATGTGAACATTAACTTCCCCTTTTGGGAGGAAAAAGGCCATTGTGATTTTCATAGGGCCTGCATAAATTGGTAGATCACTGGGAAGTCTAGCTATTTTAATAATATTAACTATTTCAATTTATGAACACAGAATGTATTTTTCATGTATTTATTTATTTCAGGAATGTTTTGTAGTCTTCAGTGTATAAACCTTTCCTCTCAATGGTAAAATTTATGTCTAGTTATTCTTTTGGATAATACTTTGAATAGAAAGGAAACAAACACATTAGGACAAGCAAAGCTGTTCCTTTGCAAAAATATTCTTTTAAGCATTGTTGCAAAAAATGAAAAGCTGGAAATGACCCAAATGCCCATCACTTATTCATTCAACAAACACTTACTTATTATATGTCCATATGTGCCAGGCAGTGCTTTAGGTGCTTGGGATGCATCTTGGAATAAAATGAAAAAAAGAAAAAAAAAAAAGAAATTTTCTTAATTTCATCCTTTGGATTGTTCATTGCTTATGTATAGAATCGCAAATGATTTTTATGTCTTGGCTTTGTACCTTTCAGGTTTTCTAAATTAATTTATTAGCTTTACTAGTTTGTGAATTTATGTGCGTGTATTGTATATATGTGTATATTCTTTGACATTCTCTACATTTAGGATATTGTCATCTGCAAGTAGAGGTAGTTCTTTCCTTCCAATTTGATTGCCTTTTAATTCCTTTTCTTGCCTAAATGCCCTGGCTAGAACATCCTGTATGATGTCAAGCAGAAGTCATGAAAATCGGCATCCTTGTCTTGTTTCTGATTTTAGTACTAAAAACTTCTGGTCTTCTCCCACTATGATGTTAGCTGTTGGCTTTTCATATATACTCTTTGTCATATGGAAGAATTCGCTTTCAATTTTTGTATATTTTTTTTTTTATCATGAATGGATGTTAGATTTTTGTCACGCTTTTTCTAGATCAAAGGCAATAATCCTGTAATCATTTTATCTTTTTCTATTAATGTGTTATATTAAATTATCATATACAGACCTACCCTTGAATTCCTGGGATAAATCACATTTGGTCATCATGTATAATACTTTCAATATGCTCTGATTTGACTTGCTATTATGTGTGATGGAATTTGTGCATATATATATATATTTATTTTCTTGCTTGTGATGTTTATTCCTCCCTCCCATCCCCTGGCTTTAGTAGCAGGCTAATGCTGGCGTCATAGGACGTATTCCCTTTTCTTCTATTTTTTGAAAAATTTTGGGAATTGGTTTTAATAAATGTTTGGTAGAATTTCACCAACAAAGCCATCAATCTGATAATTTTTGTTGTCGTGAGCAGATTGAACCAGTATTTAAAAACGCTGACTGTAGTTAGTTCTGTTCAGATTTTCTATATTTTCTTGAATTAGTTTTGTAATTTATGTCTTTCTATGTGTTTTTCATCTAATTTGTCAGCCTACAGTTGTTCACAGCATCCCATTATAATCTCTTTGTATCTGTAAAGTCAGCAGTTATGTCCCTCTATTAAGCTCTGATTTTTTTTAAGATAAAAGTTTGTCGTCATTTTATTCATCTTTTTTAAAGAAACAACAACTTTTGTGTTCATTGATTCTATTGTTTTTTCTCATCTTTATTTCATTTGTCTCTACTCTGATCTGTTTCCTTCCTTCAGCTACGTCTGGGTCTAGTTTGTGCTTCTTCTTTATTAACGTAGGTGTTTACAGCTATAGATCCCCTCTCAGCACCTGTTTTGCTGCACGTAATCACTTTTGGTATACTGTGCTTTTGTTTGCATGGTCTCTACGTATTTTCTAATTAATTTCCTTTGTGATTTCTATGTCAATACATGTTTAAAGGTGTGTTTTTAAATTTCCCTGCATTTGTGAATTTTCCAAGTTTTCCTTATCACTAAGTTTTAGCTTTATTCCATTCTGGTTAGAAAATATATTTTGTATAATTTCCATATTTTAAAATTTGAGACTTGTTTTGTGGCCCAATATATGATCTATTCCAGAGAACATCTCATGGGCCTTAAGAAGAATTAAAATTATGCTTTTGTTGGTGGGTTATTCAATATATGTCTGTTAGGTCTTGCTGATATGTTGTGGTGTTCAAATTCTCAATTTTCTGTCTTCTGTTTGTTTAGATGGTCTATCCACTATCTTTTTTGTTTATTATTTTCTCCATTAAACACATTTTTTATGTGTTTTTTTTTCTTTTTTTTGTATTGTACCCTTTTTATTCATTTCTCTTTTGTCTTCCTTCTTAGTGGTTACCATGTGGATTACAATCAACATCCAAATTTATAACAAACTAGTTTGATTTGATACCAATTTATCATCTCTAACATATCAAAACTTTGCCCCTATTTAGCCTCATCCTGTCTTTAAGTTACTATTTCATACTATTTCATGAAATTTTTTCATACACTATGTGCGAATTAACATGGATTTATATATTTCATGCATTATTTTTTATATCATGCAGAAAATAAGAGGAGTTACAAAAAATAAAATACAATACTGGCATTTATATTTACTACTACAGTTACCTTTATAACATTCTTTCCTTTTCCATATGTCTTTGCATACTGTAGTGCTTGAATTTATCTTGAAGGATTGACTTTAGCATTTTTGTAGGGAAGGTCTACCAGAAAATCATTTCCTCAACTTTTGTGTATTTGGCATGTATTTGAAGAATAGTTTTACTGAACATAGAACTTTTGGTTGACTTTATTGTTTTTCTTTCAATACTTTAAATATTTTATTCTAAAGTTACTGAAATTAGCTGTTAGCCCTATTGAGGATCCCTTGTATGTAAAACTTGCTACTTGCTTGTTTTCAATATTTTATATCATCTTTTCAAAACTTTGATTATGGTTTATGTCTGTGATCTTTATGAGTTGGTCCTAGTTGGAGTATTTTTTAAGCTCTTGAATGTGTAGCTCATACCCTCCATCAAACTTTTGAAGTTTTCAGTCACTATTTCTTCAATCTGTTCTTCTGACTTGATAATTCTAATTGCTATTTCCAAATTTGCTAGTTATTTCTACTGCCTTCGGAAAGCTGCTGAATTCTTTTACTATTATTTTTTTAATTTAAACAACTATTTTACTTTTTGACACTATAATTTCTCTTTGGATCCTTTTTTATTATTTCTTATTAATATTTTACTTCTTTAGACATTATTTATTTTCCCAGTTTTCTTTATTTCTTTAGCCATGATTTCTTTTAGCCTATTAAGCATTTTTAAGATGATTGATAGTTAATTTAAAGGTTTTATCTGCTAATTCTAGTGTCTGTGCTTCCTCACAACCAGCTGTCTTTTTTTTTCCCATGTGAATGGGCCATACTTCCTTTTTCTTTTTAGGCCTTGTGATTTTTAAAAAAACACAACTGTGCAGTTTGAATATTTAAAGGTGGTAACTCTGGAAATTAGATTCTCCTCATTCCCCTGGGTTTGCTGGTGTTAATTTTTGTTAATTTTTTAGGGCTCTACTTGTCTATTTGGTGACTTTTCCAAACTATTTTTACAAAGATTGTATTCCTTATGCTGTATAGTTCTTGAAGCCTATGTTTCCTATGCTTCATTATCTCAGCAGTAAGCAAGTGACCCGACAGATTTTTTTTAATACATCTGGAGTTAAAAGGTAATCCTACTCTCCTAATTTGTGCAGATTACCTCTGAGTTGTATCACTTCAATACCAAGCCAGACTACCCAGGACTGTGCCCTAACCTTAATATTTAGCTTTTGTAGAGCTCACAGTTATCCCAAAGGTGCATGCCTAGGGTTCACTCAGGTCTATTCTGAGCCTGCTTTTAGCCCAGGTCATACATATTGCACACCCTGTAAACAGAATGAGCTGTCTATGTTTTTATTTCTTCAAGGAATTTCCTCCTGAGCTTTGTCTTTCCCAGGCTTTAGAGTTGTCTGATGCTTGCCTTATCCACTGTTTCTTTCTTCAGGCAGGTACAGTCAGTGTATGTCTTTAAATATTTTGAAAGATGCAGTCACTACCAAGAAAACCACTCCAGCTTGATTGCTGGGGAGGGAGAAATAAATGTCAGCCTCTACACTGTTTATTTAGAGAACAACCCCATAGGTCAAAACAGACAACTACAATATTTTAAAAACAATGTTTCCATCACCACTAACACCAGCAAACTTGATCAGGAACGTGGTTTGCCATTCCCATGGATGGCATCTCTGCCATGCTGGGGAATTAGAGATAGTTATCAGATGAGTGAAAATACCTAATGCTTTTTCGCCAAATTTCAGCTGCCCTTTCCTTCATTAAGTGGTCCTCTGGTTATACATTTCAAATTACAGTAGGTTCTAGGGTTCCAAAAACAGAGCTGATTCTGTCAGTGTTTTCCAGGTGATGGTAGTTTCAATGAGTGGACCTAGTATTCAAACACCTTACTCTGCCATTCCCAAGACATCACTATCTGTCTGATTATCTCAAGGCCTAAGGCCTGCCGCTTCTCTCTCTTTCTCTGAAGCGTGATACCCTGCTTGTGGGAGACAGTGTATGTAATTAGTATAATTTATCATCAAAATAGATAAAATAATTTGAGATAATGGCTAATTCATAGATCAGCAGTGGCATTTCCACATAGTAGGATAAGTTAAAGTATGACCTAAAAATACTAGTCACATTCATGCCCAGAACAATTTCCTTGTATTACTCTAGTAAGTTTCATTTGTCAATTGTACAGATGCCTGGAAATGTGTTTTTGAGAACTGGTATAATTATTTAATATATCATTATTATGCTTTAATTTCTATTTTATAGAAATCTTGATATCCATTATGTTTTTGAGAGCCACAGAATGGTTAGAAATAAGTAAATATATATAGTGTGTGTGTGTGTATAGGAAATCTTGGTATCCATTATGTATTTCGTTTTTGAGGGTTAGAAAGAAGTACATATATATACTACCATATTTGGAAATAACTTCCATATATATATATATGGAAGTTGTATATATATTTACTAAGGCCCCTGGTTTCTAGATCTATTTTAGCCATAATTTTTCTTTTTCTAGCATATTGCTTCTCGAAGACAGAGTAAAATAAATAAACTGAAAGAAGGCATACAGAAGTGAAGGATCTCTTATAAGGCAAATTAATTAGAAGCAAATACCAAGGTCAATTTTATCCTTCTTTAGTAATATACATGATTTGCACTAACTAGACCTATATAGGATTACATATCTACCTCACCATAGGTATAGAAAACAGACTCCAGAAAATGAAAATTGTTATGTATATCCACCCTGAAAATGTTGAGGCAATGTGTATCCCCAAAGTAAGAGAGTACTGGCAACTTTGATCTCTCCATTAGAAACATCTGACTCTTATCCAAGTGTGAAGAGTTAATTCAAATAATATAAATGTTTAAATGCGGCATATAATCTGTATGCCATGTACATTTAAACAAAGAATAAAAGTCTTAAAAATTAAGACTGAAAATAAAAATGACACAAACAGAAACTAAAAAATGTTTTTATGGTCAATTGACGTTTTTCCAGATATCTCAAAACCTCATTTATATTCATGACTTCTGCAACATTGCAGTAGTTATATTATAGCCTGGGCTAGAATGCATGTCATCAGAATCATCTGGCCTCCTCTTATGCAAATAGGTGCCTCAAAGCCATTAGCCACTATTAAGGTAAAGTTGCATGTTCTCACATTGGTAATCTAGACACCTAAGCTTAGTTCAGTATTTGTAAAGAGGTGAGGGTTTTCTTAATGTTTAAGCTTTGTAAAGCGAGACAGTTCAAATGAGAATTCTAAAACTTCCAAGGCGACACTTTCACGATTAGGGTCTTCACTTCCTAAAAACCTTTTCCGGAAGCATTCTATAAAACTACTTACCAGATTGCCAAAGAAAAGAAGTCCCAAAGCATTGGAAAGACTTTAAATAAAGACATGTGTCCCACAAAAATTTTCAAACTGGTTGGTGGCCTGGAAAAGGAAGGAGAAAAGACCGGAAAGTGAATCATTTTTCAAATGACGCTCTGTGTTCCCACTGATATATTCCCATGTATGTTCTATACCTCTATCTATCTATCTAAGTTTTACGTATTTTCTAATCTAGCTAACTCTCAAATTGCTCATCAAGGTACTGCAGCTTTACTACTCCCCTTCCATGGTAGCCACGTCCTTTAAAAAACATTACTGTTAATATCATTATTATTTTTTGAGACAGGGTCTCACTCTGTCACCCAGGCTAGAGTGCAGTGGCACAAACATGGCTGACTGCAGCCTTGACATCCTGGAGCCAAGCAATTCTCCCGCCTCAGCATCCTATGTAGCTGAGACTACAGGTGTGTATCACCACACCTGGCTAATTTTTAAAAAATGTATGTAGAGACAGGATCTTGCCATGTTTCCCAGGCTGGTCTTGAACTCCATCTCAAGCTGTCCTTCTGCCTTGGCCTCCCAAAGTGCTAGGATTACAGATCTGTGAGTGAGTCCCCATGCCTGACCTTCAAATCTATATATTATATTACTCTTTACGTGCACGCTGATGCCATAAGGGAAAATTACATCTCTTACATGTCCATTTTAGAAACTACTCAAAGAAAGAGTCAACATTTTAAAGGCAGCTAAAGAATGTTGCTTGATTCTTTTTTTAGTAGATCATAACTTTAAGTGGAAATGAATGCTGCTGCTTCTTGCCACAGATGGAGCTCCTACAGTACTTAAAAAATATTCTCAACAAACATTAGCAGGAAATCAAGCTCCTCATATTATTGCCTTTTACACAGATGCACTGGCATCAGAGATCCAACAACCCTGAAAGTTTTGTCAACAACCATAAAAGTCATCAGCTTTATAATCTTAAAAATATTTTTTTTCAGGCCGGTTGCAGTGGCTCACACCTGTAATCCCAGCACTTTGGGAGGCTGAGGTCAGTGGATCACCTGAGGTCAGGAGTTCGAGACCAACCTGGCCAACATGGCGAAACTCCCTCTTTACTAAAAATACAAAGAACTAGCTGGGCATGGTGGCGTGCACCTGTAATCCCAGCCACTAGACAGGAGAATCGCTGGAACCCAGGAGGTGGAGGTTGCAGTGAGCCAAGATTGTGCCATTGCCCTACAGCCTGGGCAAGAGAGTGAAACTCTATCTATCTTAAAAATGCGAGTAGAGTACATAGTGCTTCACTATCACACCCCTAACTTTTTGATGTTGAAGAAGACGAGTCTCACTTAGACTAAAGTTCTAGTGAAAATCTTATTTGGACCAGGCACGTGTGCCATTTTTAAGGAGAAAAAAAAAATCACTGAATAAATATTATCTCTATATGAGATGTTTAGTTTCTGTGAAATCCAGGTATAAGGTTCAATAAGGTCATAAGAGTGGAGCCCTAATGTCCTTCAAAGAAGGAAGAGGCATCAAAACTCTCACTCTGTGTGTGTGTGTTCTGAGAAAGGCCATGTTAAGGCCCAGCAACAAGGTAGCCACGTGCAAGGAAGAGAGGCCTTGCCAGAAGTCAAGCCTAACAGCACCTTGATCTGGACTTCCCACCTCCAGAACTGTGAGAAAAGACGTTTCTGTCATTTAAGCCACCCAGTCCACGGTATTTTGGTATGGCATATCCACCTGACTAGCACAACTTCTAAGGCAAAGCAAGGTGGGTGGCCCTCCTCAATTAAACGATTGAGAGAACAATACATTAGCTATACTGAAAGAGATACGTAGGTGGTTAGATGCCTCCCAAAACACCGTGAATGTAAATCAATTCTAAATTAGATTAATAACATTATTTTTTGATACGGCATTTCATTCTGTCACCCAGTCTGGAGTGCGGTGGCACAATCTCGTCTCACTGCACCTCTGCCTCCTGGGTTCAAGCGATTCTCCCCCCTCAGCCTCCCGAGTAGCTGGGATTACAGGCACGTGCCACCATGCCTGGCTAATTTTTGTATTTTTAATAGAGAGGGGGTTTTACCATGTTAGCCAGGCTGGTCTCAAAGTCGTGACCTCAGGCGATCTGCCCACCTGGGTCTCCCAAAGTGCTGGGATTACAGGCATGAGCCATTGCGCCCAGCCCCAGCCAGTGACATAAATTTTAAAAGCATAAAGACTTTTTTTTTTTCTGAGACAGAGTCTTGTTCTGTTGCCCAGGATGGAGTGCAGTAACATGATCAGGGCTCAGGCAATCCTCCTGCCTCAGCCTTCCCAATAGTTGGGAGTACAAGCATGCACCACCGCAACTGGCTAATTCTTGTATTTTTTTTTGTAGAGATGGGGCTCTCACCATGTTGCCCAGGCCCGTCTTGAACTCCTGCCACCATGCCCAGCCGATTTAAAGCCTTTTATATGAACATAAGAGATAGATAGGGAATAGAAAGTCTCCAATACAAAGTTAAAGATTATATTGAGGATATTATCTATATTGTAACATTATTTTCATATAATAAAATACTATACTCAAGATCTTTTCAATACACGTAGCTGAGAGAGGATTAGTATTCAGGGAACCTAACAAAACTGCAAACCATTAGAAAAATACTAAAAACACATATTACTGGTGGGATGGGTCTTAATTTGATTTGAGCAGGGTTAGCAAAATCAGCCACAAGAAAGTACATGGAAAAGGCTTTGTTACTTAGGTTGAGGTTTGAGGTTACTCACCTGCCTTTTTCAGCATATTCGATATTTGGTTGCAACTAAAATATGGCATATTTGGGTATTTAAAATACAAAAATCATCAATACAGAAAATTGGCAAGAATATCTACAAATATTGTACAATATAGTCATGTTCTTAGCAAGAATATCAAGCTGTTGATGAATATATAAATTGGAAAATCTAATGGGGAGAATAATTTGGCAACATATCAGAAATTTCACTTAGGCATATTCTAGTAACTAGGCTGTGCACAATTACAAGAATAGTTAGTTATTGTTGTGCTGTCCAAAAAACTGGAAACAGTTTATATAACACTGATTCACTGATATAAGGTGAATCAACCAGACTACATCTGTTAACATGGATAAATTTCAAAATATAATGTAAAACACAAAATCAGCAGCACAGTGCATTGTTATCTCTTATTAAATAAATATTTTAATTTTATATGTATAATAAAAAAATGCATAAGTATGCACATGTCATGGAAAATATGCATGTGGTACACAACACAAATAATCAGTGATTCCCTCTGAGGAGGAAGGGATGCATCAAAACTATACATAGCATCTGAAAAAATTATACCTATTAATATATTCACCAAGCAGGTGAAGTAGATCTTAACATTCATTATTTCACTAGATTTTTTGTCTTATTTTTGAGTTTTTTTTACATCATCTACTTCATAGATTAAATTTTGTGAACATAAGATATCACCTGTCATCAAAAACAAAGACTTACTTACCTTTTATAGATCACATTTTTAAAAAGTCTGAAAAAGCTAGGAAGTTAGATTTTTAAATGCTTATACAGTTGACCCTTAAACAATCAAAGGGTTAGAGGCTCACGCCCTGCACAGTTGAAAATCTACATGTAACTATTGACTCTCCAGCAACCAGAAATCTGGCCAATAACATAAACAGTGAATAAACACATTTTGTATGTTATATATTGTATACTATAGTTATATTCTCTCTGGCTTACTTTACTATATTTATCATTAAATGGAAGTTGATTATCATAAAGGTCTTCATCCTTGCCATATTCACATTGAGAAGGCAGTGTTGGTCTTGCTGTTTCATGGGTGGCAGATACAGAATAAAATATGCAGGTAGTGGACCCACACAGTTCAAACCTGTATTGTGTAAGAGTCAACTAGATTAATACATTCATAGGTGAATTTTCATTTTATGTGCATTCATATTCATTCTTATATGTATCAACATATTTACTAATTATCTATCTCATAGAGCCCTGCCGACTTGCACTAAAAATGATAGAAAAAAAGTGTTTACCTATCAGAATTTTCCAATAACTTTTAAATATAACAAAACAAACAATAGAAACCCATTCAGAACACTACATTTGATGTAATTAGTTGTTGAAAATGAAATCTTCAGTTCTATTTCTGGCAGCAATTCATTCATCTGAATTGATTCTTAAAACCACATCCTTGTCTTTGCCTTCTTTTAAGCTATGTGGATTGATTCCACTGGGTTTCCTTCCCAGTCAGGAGCCTCTCTATACTCACTCATCTGGCTGTGGGTGTTATGTGCGTCAGAATGAGATCAAGCCATGTATTCATGATATTCTGGAGAAAAGTGAAGAAAATGAAGGCATCCTCTGGGTGATATCAGAAAAGTTGGAGGCAGCCCTGGCTCCTATGCGTTGTGAGACACTCACCTCAATTTTGAGTTTCCTAAATTAATAAATAGCCTCTGTTTTAGTGAAAGAAAGATTGGTCCTCAACACACTTGAGAAATCTCTTCATAGTCAGTATGAACATGTTGACTTGTAATAAAAATTGAAACATACGTTTAGGAGAATATTCAGCAGCTGTTGACCAAAAAAAAAAAAAATTACTATCTTTCTCTTGCAATGTAAATGACAATTATTTTTTTTTTACTGTGTGTAAACATTTCTGTATTGCGAGTTTGTGCAGTTATGGATTATTTATTTTATGATTTTGCTTTTTGTGGTATCACAGCACTTTTATCATAACAGCATTTCACACCAATCACACTTTGAGGACTCTAATTCCAACTTGTCAAGGACGAAGAGATGAAATGTGAAAACTGCCTGACGAGAGGCAGATATCTGTGCACCAAGAAATGATATTCACCACTCACTTTGTGAATCAGATGTATAAAATTATGGCTTCCATGGCAGTGATGGGCATTTGAGGCAATTTGCCTACAAAAGAATCTCAGATAAGCATCTTTAATAAAACTCATGTCTCCCCTGTTGGTCTGTACCTCATTATACTGTAATCCTAAGATTCAATTTTATACAAATGCATATATATCTAAACTCAAGTTTTATAATGGTATCCTATTTCTATGTACTACACTATTACCATATGCATAGCCTTACAACTATAATTTAAATATCAAGGCAGTGTGTCTACTACAAAATCTTCTCCATATAACTGCACAGAGTTAAAGACTTGAAAGGGTCTGACTAGAACTACGTGCTTTACCAACTTAATGTACTTCATTTGGGACACAGCATCAGATGACATCAGATGAGGGTCCTTTAAATGCAAAGTGTGTCTTAAATGAATAGCACATAATTATTTTCTTCTTCTTCAGGGTCTGTATGATGCTTAATACTATGTGTCAACTTGACTGGACCACCAGCTGTTTCGATATTTTGCCAAATGTCACCAACATTTATCGGTTATAACTTTTATTATAGATAATTTTTAAAACTTATCATCATATAATCCTTATTCTTAATACTCCATCACTGTGAGCTGAGACTTTCTGCTAGTGTTTAGGGTAGATTTACAACATAAATATATGGCTAAAATATGAGAAGCATTTTTCTTGATTCAATATTTTTCCTCGCACACAGTTGTGTTAATCCAAGAAATCTCAAGAAACTACTAACTAACTTAGAGAAGCCACTAAAGGACAATTCATTCTAATTTTCACGTAAATCAAAGACTTATCTGACTAATGCTGAATAAGTTGGGGAGAGATTTCATCATCTTTAAAAATTCAGATTAAAAATAATTGTAAAACCACAAGAAACTAAGTAATATTCAGTCACACATACCCGAAGAACAGCAGAATATACATTCTTCAAGAAAACAGTGAACATGTAACATGATAGATTGCTTTCTGAGCCATAAAACATGTCTCAGTATTTTAAACTTACTTACATAATACAACATTTATTATCTGCCTTCAGTGGGATTCAATTAGAAATTATAATCTTCAACTAAAGCAAGGCTTTGAGAAACAAATTATAGATTTGAACACTTTTAAAGAAACAGAGCTCATGTTATTTAGAAAACTATTAAATTACAATTAAACCACAGAAAATAAATAACAAACAAACATTAAGTGCAGAAAACAATGAAATAAAAAAAAACAGAAGAATGGGAAGATCAGTAAAGTTGATAAGCCTCAAGCCAAGCTGATTAAAAAATGTGAGGAAAAACCACAAATTACAAATATCAGGAGAAAGGAACATGGCATTGCTGCAGTTCTTATTAGCGTTAACAGTTTAAAGATGTCTGTCAATAAATTCCAAATTTTAGATGAAATGACAAATATCTTAAATGACAGAAAATACCAACTCACTTAAAAGGTAATATATAACCTAAATAGCTGTATATCAAAGTAAACAGTGACATGTGATGGAAGAAATTGGAATTTCAGGTAAAACATTCATACAAAGAAAACTCCAGTTTCAGATGATATCCCTGGTAAATTCCACCAAACATTGAAGGAAGAAACATTTCCAATTTTACAACTTTTTCAGAAAACAGAGTTGCAGAAAACATTTTCAAACTCATTATATGAGGCCATTATCCTGACACTTAAACCCAAGACATAAGAAAAGTACACAGCAACATGTTTCATAAATACAAAAATTTGTTAACAGTTTAAGAAAATTAAATCCAATGACAGATAGATAATGCATCATAATTAAGTGCAAGAATGCAAGGATATTTAAATAATCATACCATTAAATTAATGAAGAAAAATGCATAACAGTAGTCTCAAGCATTTAACAGAACTGAATCTCCATTTATGGTAAAACTCTCAGCAAACTAACAAAATTTCTCAACCTGATAAAGGGCATATATGATAAAACATTTAATGATTAAAACCGAATGCTTTTCCTCTAAGATCAGAAATGCAGAAAGGATGTCTATTCTTACCTCATCTATTAAACATTACATTGGAGAATTTAGTTATGCAATAAAGTAGGAAAAAGCTAATCACAAATTAGAAAGCAAAGATTAAATCTGTATTTAGAAGTAGCATGATTGTCTATGCAGGAAATCTTAGGAATCTACAAAAAAAATTGTAACTAGTACCTGTGTCTAGCAAGTTTGGAATATAGAGTATTTGTATATACTAGCAACAAATAATTAGAAATTGTAATAATAGCATTAAAAGACATAATATTTAGCAATAAATTGAACAAAAGATGTAAAAGGCCCCTAAACTGATAAAAACAAGATTGTTTGTTAGGATTTCTAAGAATATAGAACTATACCAAGCTGATAGATCAAAAAAAGTGGCAATATGTTACTTGTCCCCAAAATATCTACAGATTCAATGCAACTTTAATTAGTATTTCATCAGACTTTTGTATAGAAATTGTCAAGATGATTATAAAATTTACATGGAATTTCAAAAGGCATAGTCTGGGAAAAACTACCTTGAAAAATAAAAAATTTGGAGGGTTTATACTTGTTTTACCTAATTGAATTATTGATACATGCAGCAAGTTGGATGAATCTCAAAATAGCTATGCTATGTGAAGCCAGATCCAAAAGTATATGCACTGTAAACACCATTTACATAACCTTCTAGAAAATGAAAACTAAACTACATGAAGTGAAGCAGATCGGGGACTGCCTGAGGAAGGATGGGCCAGGCACATTGGCTCACGCCTGTAATCCCAGTACATTGGGAGGCTGAGGCGGGCGGATCATGAGGTCATCAGAAGTTCGAGACCAGCCTGGCTAACAAGGTGAAACCCCGTCTCTACTGAAAATACAAAAAAAATTAGCCGGGTATGGTGGTGCATACCTGTAATCCCAGCTACTCGGGAGGCTGAGGCTGGAGAATTGCTTGAATTCAGGATGCAGAGGTTGCACCATTGCACTCCAGCCTGGGAGACAGAGCGAAACTCTGTCTCAAAAAAAAAAAAAAAAAGAGGATTGACACAGGCATATGAGAAAACTTTGAGGGATGCTCAAATATGTTCATTATTTTGATTGATTGTGCAGAAGTTCTCATCAGTGCAGGCAGTCCCTGCTTGGCGTGGTAGGAAAACTTCTGCGTATCAGGACTGAATCCTTGCATGTCAAGGTTCCATGGTAACAAAGCACAACATTTTCACTTTGCACAGTGACAAAGGAAGGAAGCTGTTCCAATATGTACTACTCTCCACTATCACCATATCCTACAAAGAGAGGTGGCCTCAAATATATATAGTTTTAGTTTATTATATGTGACTTATACTAAAATAAAACTACAGACATTGTTTTTCTTACCTTTTGATGAATAAGTATCAAATTAGCTATACCTTTGAAGACAATTTTCTTTCACATAAATTTATACCTCTTATGATGTGCCATTATTTTTCAAATACTAGTAGCTTCTTAAACCTGCATACCCCTACATATCATCCAGAAACCATCCAGATCAACAAACAGCACAAATAAAACCACACTCATAACTGTTGCCCAGCATTAGTAAGATAGAAATAATATTACAGCTCTGAATGACATATGTGTAATGAAACGAACATCTCAAACCAACAGAGACAGGTGCATGGGCAACGCAGAAGTAAGGTTTCATGAAGATTTCGGAGGAGGAGGAAAGCCTGAGGCCAGGGTGATTGGACGGGCCACAGGAAAATGGAAAGGAAGGGGTTTAACTTCCGCAGGAGGAGGAGGTAGTTTGGAAGGAACAGGCTTCCCTAGGAGCCTTGGTGGTGATGAGAAAGAAAGAAGTGACTGATCAAAATTAAGTTTTCTATATAAACAGGAGAGTATTACTACAGAATGAATCCTCTCTACCACTAAGACAACAATAAGTTAAAGAAGAAGCATTCTAAGAGAAGACACTTTAACACAAAATCTGGTCAAATCTTTAGCCCTTTCTTATGTTGAAACAGCTGCCACTGCAGTCTAAAAAAGAAAAACAAAAAAACATTTAAAACTAAGTAATGGCAGGGAATATATAAGTAAAATTACTGCATAGAAAAATTAGAAAAGGAAACATTTCAAATGAAACAGTCACCTCTAAAACAAGAAAGCAAAAAAAGTAACATATAAAACAAATAGGAATTTAGTACCATAAAAGTAGCATTTTATAGATAAGATAATAAAACAGAATTCAAAATCTCAGTATCTCCTGAAAAGAACAAGAAGATACAAGACAAACTTTAATTAAAGTGACAAACAAAATAAGAAAAAGATTTTCTTTTTTGTAATGAAAGTTTTCTGCAGTCAAGTTTCGTAGATAATTGCTATGTAAAACCCGTTTACTAAATACACTAAAAATAGCCACAATGCAGTCCACGGGCATGACTAAGATATGCCATTTTTCAGTTTTATATGAATTATAATTTCCTCTGTGATGCATATTTGCGTTTGTATTCAAATTCAAGGAAAGATATTAGTCACCTGTATGCCATACACTCTTCCTTACTTAAGTACGTTACCTTAATTAATTTCATCAATTCCTTGGCTAAGTGTTTTACTTTCTACTTTGTAGGTGAAATTTTGAGAAATAGCAAAGTTAAGAGATGTGCTCAAGGTCACAGAGATGATAAATGTCAAGAACAGATTTAAATCCACTTCTCTCTGCCTCTGTGTCCAGTGTTCTTTCCATTTTTCTCCTGAGAAACTCAGTCTATTATACTCTGTAAACTGTAGGTTTCATTGGTATTCATGTGTAAATAACTACTTTTTAAAAATTTAACTGAGTTTTGCATGCATTAAATGCCAGAAAATGTCATAAACAAATCAAGAAAAAGTTAGATTAAAGAAGGAGGTTATCATGACAACCTCTGAAACTGAATTCTAGGTTGAGTAGATGTGGACACAGCTAAAAATAAAAATAAAATAGAGTTTTAGCTTGTGCTTAGGGTGGAGAAAGTTGTAAGAAAACATAAATTATATCCTAAAAAGAGAAGGAAAGGAAACTGACAAATTATAGTCTTTTTTTTTTTTTTTCGGTCTGTTTGTGTTTTAATGTCCATCAGAGAGCTGAGGTGGCAAGAAAAGATAATGAAATAAAATCCATAAAATGACAAATTTTTCTCAGGAGATGATATGAGATCTATGGCTGATTTCCTCCTCAGCAGAAGATAGGAAGATGAAGAACCAGCCAGAGATAGGTAGGTAAAAAGAAATCCAATACATTGTAAATACCCTTTTAAGTCTAACTTAGGTGTTGGCACAGTGGCTTAGAATTCCCAGGAGCCCCAAACAAAAGGAGTCAGTATTCCCTGCCAGCTCTTTTTCTTGGACCTACACTGTGTGCTCATGAGACAGATTGTGGGCAGAGTAGAGAAGCTGAGAGAGATTTCTTCTGCATAGGCACAGCAAGCCAGCTGAAAGCAGGAAAGAACTGAAGAGAACTCAAATACTTAAATCTTATACTGATTTTGACTGTTTTGCCATCTGCAGCTAGGATGAAGGACTGAGAAAACACTGCCTCTTTTAAGTACAGACATACAGAGCCCACTGAAGTCTAAAGTCACGGTGAAAAAACTTAGAGAAACTCTACAGGTATACACTGGGTCTTATTCTGAATACAATGAAGCAGCCAACTTTATTACGGTAGTCAGAAGACCTGAAAGAGTTGCACCAATTGAGGCTCAAGAGTATGGAGTTTGTAGGTGGCTGAGAATCAGGCAAAGAACTGAGACAAATGTACTGGGCAATATTATTTTCCATAGTTTACCTATACATAAAATACATAAAAATAAGAGTAGCAAAAAATTTGCATTACAAACTAGAAATCATTGCTGAAAAATAATAACAGAGATGACCCAATATTAAGATGTCGATCTTCCCCAAGTTGCTTTATAAATTCAATGTTATTATAATAAAAATACTTTAAGGTATTTTTATAATAATATACAAGTATATTATAAAATTTGTACAAAACTGCAAATAATATAGGTTATCCAAAATATATTGAAAAGAAAGAACACATGTTGAAGACATATTACCAGATTGTAGAGCTACAGTAACTGAGAGAGCATAGTATTGGCTAAACGACACATAAAGAGTTCTGTGGAAAGAGAATCAAGAGTCTCACCCATATTGAATGAATGAAGAATGCCAAAGCCATGCAGTGGGTAAAGGAATGTCATATTAGAAATGATTCGAAAACAACTTACTCTCTACATAAACATTTACCTTAAAATAATACTGCAGACACAAAACTCAAAATTCAAACAAATTTATGGAAGAAAATCCTACAAAAGATTGGGATCCTAACGTGAAGCAAAAATGTTTAGAAGGGGCTCAGATTACTAATAAAAATAATAAATTAGACTTTATTGTCATTAAAGCCCTTTACTCATCCAAAGTGATTACCTAGTAAATGAATACATTAGCCAAAGTTTGTGAAAATATATGTGTAAATACACACCTAAGAACTCATAAATGGAATATATAAACAACTCATGAAATTCAATAATAAATAGACTAGCAATAGAAACAAACAGAAAAATGACTTCAAATATGCTTTACAAAAGAATATGAAGAAATAGTTAAAGTACTCAACATCATTAGTCATCACTGCAACAAAAATTAAACCTCAATGACATAGTCCAACACCTTCAGCAGAATGGTTAAAATACAAAAAGCTGGGCAGAGGACCCAAGATGGCTGACATCTTCCACTGAGAGAGGAACATCTCCCACCAAGAGACTGGGACACTGAGAAGACTGGCACACTTTGAGCACACCTTTAGCGGACAGAAATTGAGAGTGGATAGAGGAAGGATGCAGATGCTGAGCTGAAAAGAGAGGTAGCAGGGAACCCTGCATGGGACTACTGAGCACAAGAACTTCTTCCTGGTCTCTAGAGACTCATGGGGAAGGCGTGAGTTGAACAAGTGAGGAATGTCCCACTATTGCTGCAGACCTCTAGAATCCTGGCATCAGCAGATCCCATGAACACCACAGAAACTTGAGCTGGTAGGGAGAGCTACTCAGAGAGGCAGTAAGGGCAGTACTCCAGTCTGTGCAGAGCTCAGAAGGTTTGGGGCAGAAATGTCTGCAGTGGAGAATGGCCGGCCAGAGATGCCCATCTCCCAAGGCTTACCATGCTCCTCTAAGAGACTTTAGCCTTGGGATGAGTATCAGACCTAGAAAGAATAGGGTGGTCTTGTCTATGAGATGGGGTCAGTCCAATCTGAGTACCACCCTGTCTGCTGGCCTCTCCAAGGGCCCCAGCATGGCCATGGCCATGTAGCACAGCCTCAGATGCCCAAGCAGGGTACTTTCTGAGGGCCCTCATCAGAGGTCCCTCAATAGCAGACAGCAATGGGTTATCAGAGAATTCCAGCTAACTGGACCCACCGATATGCACCAGTTCACCTGCACCCTCCCCCTAATACAGCACCCCCAGCCCCTGCCCCGCTTTGTCTACATGCACTCACCTGTGGCCACACCTCCGCTGATTTGCTAGGGTGCGTAGATGTGGACCTCGCCTCCCCTTCCCTACTGGCATGCATGTGTGTGCACAGCCCTCTGCACCACTGCACAAGCACACCCCACTGTCCCCATGCCCTCCTGCTGATGGACAGGCACCTAGCTGCACTGCCATTGCTAGTGCCACCATGCGCATGAATGCTGGAAGCCCTTCCCTGTCCAGTGCCCCACCCCTGCCAAGCTGCAGTTGCCACTGGAGCAAGAACACACAGGAACATCGCAGCCCCACTGCCATTAGTGTCCCACCCCAGCCAATGCACATGCAACCTGCTATGCTTCGGTAACTGCTGGCATGTGTGAGCAAGTACAGATCCCATTGCCCCAGTGAAACTCTTTGCCTGGCAACACCCATTGGAATCTCATGGCAAGCAGACCTGGAACACCTCAGCCCCTCCAGTGCAGCAGGTTCCTAACCTCTAGGAGCCAGAAAACAAAGCCAGGGTTCTGGTGTCAGCTACTCAGAATTGGAGCACACAGCCCAGGAGGGCCAAGCTCAGCCTTGGCCCCCTAAAATCTTCCAGAAACAAAGCCAGTTGACTGAACCCATATTATATATACCACAATCAAACCCCCCAGAGCATCAAAGAAGATAAAAACTAAAAACAATATTCATAGGAGAGCAATACCAAAAATTGAAGGAACATCATCCTACACATGAGAGAAACAGTACAAAAACCTTATCAACTCAAAATGCCAGACTGTCTTCTTACCTCCAAACAACCACACTACTTCCCTAGCAGTGGTTCTTAACCAGGCTAAAATGACAGATGTATAAATCAGAATATGGATGTGAACAAAGATCATCGAGATTTAGCAGAGAGTTGTAACTCAATCTACGGAATACAGTAAAACAATTCAGGAGCTGAAAGCCAAAATGTCCGTTTTAAGAAAACACCTAACTCTACTAATAGAGCTGAAAAGCTTACTTCAAGAATTCCATAATACAATTGCAAGTATTAAACAGCAGAATCAACTGGGCTGAGGAAAGAATCTCAGAGCTCAAAAACTGGTTCTCAAAAATAACTCAGAAAATCTTTTTAAACAATGAATAAATAGAACTTATGAGGAATATGAGATTATGTAAAAAGATTAAAAATATGACTCATTGGCATCCCTGAAAAAGGGAGAGAAAGCAAGCAACTTAGAACACATATTTGAGGATATTATCCCTGAAAACTACCCCAACCTCACTAGAGATGTAAACATTCAAATTCAGGAAATGTAGAGAACCTCTGTGAGATGCTATGCAAGATGATCATCTCTAAGACGAGACACATAGTCATCAGATTCTCTCAGATTGAAATGAAAGAAAAATGTTAAAGGCAAATAGAAGGTGCAGGTCACCTAGAAAGGGAACCCCACTGGGCTAATAGCAGACCTGTCACCAGAAACCCTGCAAGCCAGAGGAGATTGGGGGCCTATGATTGATATTCTTAAAGAAAAGAAATGCCAATGATGAATTTTATATCCAGCCAAACTAAGCTTCATTAGCAAAGGAAAAATGAGATCATTTTCAGACAAGCAAATGCTAAGGGAATTCATTACCACCAGATGTGTCTTACAAGAGGTCCTTAAGGGAGTGCTGAATATGGAAAGGAAAGACCATTTCTAGACACCATAAAAAACACACTTAAGTACATAGACCATTGACACTATAAAGCAACTAACTATACAATCGAGTCTGTATAATAACCAGCTAACATTTCCATGACAAGATCAAATTCACACATATCACTATTAACTTTGAATGTAAATGAGCTAAATGCTCCAATTAAAAGGCACAGAGTGGCAAGCCTGATAAAGAAGCAAGATGTACTGTGTGCTGTCTTCAATAGACACATCTCAAATGCAAGGACATCCATTGGTTCAATGTAAAGTGATGAAAAAAAATACCAAATCAAATGGAAAACTGAAAAAAGCAGCTACTGCTATTCTAATTTCATACAAAACCGACTTTAAATGAACAATAGTTTAAGAAAAACACACACAAAAAGAAGAACATTACATAATGATAAACACTTTGATTCAACAAGAAGACCTAACTATTTTAATTAAAAATGCACCCAACACAGGGGCACCAATATTTATAAAACAAGTCCTTAGCATCCTAAAAGAGACTTAGCTAACCATATAATGGTGGAATTCAACACTCACTGGTATTAGACATATTATCAAGGCAGAAAAGTAACACAGATATTTGAGACCTAAACTCAACACTTGATCAAATGGTCCAAACAGACATCTACAGAAGTTGCCACAGAAAAACAAGAGAATATACATTCTTCTCATTTACACATGCACGTTCTCAAAAATTGACCACGCAATCAGCCATAAAACAATTCTCAGCAAATTACCAAAAAAAAAAAAAAAAAAAAAAAAAAAAAAACCTAAAAAACTAATTTGTACCAATCACACTCTCGGACCATAGCACAATAAAAATAGAAATCAGTACCAAGAAAAGTGCTCAAAACCATAAATTACATGGAAATTAAGCTGTTCCTGAATGACATTTGTATAAACAAAAAAAAATTAATTAAGGCAGAAATCAAGAAATTCTTTGAAACTAATGAGAACAAAGATACAACATACCAGAATCTCTGGGACACAGATAAAACAATATTAAGAGGAAAGATTCTAGCACTAAATGCCTATATCTAAAAGTAAGAGAGATATCAAATTACTAATCTAATATCACATCTAGAAGAACTAGAGATACAAGAGCAAACCAACCCCAGTGCCAGTAGAAGAAAAGAAATAACCAAAATCAGAGCTTACCTGAAGGAGATGTGAAAAACAATAAGAAAGGTCAACAAATTCTATGACTGTTTTTTTTTTTGAAACAATAAATACTAGTAGACTACTCACTTAAAAAGCTTTGTAAAAACTCTCTGTTTTCACTCCACATGTAAAGAGCTTGTAAGTTGTCATTCTACCCGAACAACAAATAAAAGGCTGAAGAGACTAAAATTAACCACTCTTTTAGATCCACAGGAGAGTGAGGTCACAGGCAAGCTGCCTCCCCCAGTTGTACAGACAGACAGGCAAATACAGGAAGTCCTGACTTAACTGGAGCAGGCTCAGTAGTGGAAAGGACTGCAGGAACAAGTGTTGGGGTAGAAAAACCTGAACTAATATTCAAAAATTTCTGGACACTCAGTGTGGACAAGGCTGGGAGTTAAACATTTCAGTCATGGGAGTCCTGTATTTTATGAGTTTTACCTTGAAAATTACAAATAGGTTCTCAGTAAATATCACAGGGAAATTGTCCTGTTATTCTGATGAGGCTGAAGAGGAACCATGTGAAATATGCCATAGCATTCTGTTCTTCTTCAGAAGCTCTGCTCTCAAAAAACAACAACAACAAACCCTATTTTTAAAATGTATTAACTGCTGGTGTTTTATCAGAGCCTAGCTGAACTGGGAAAAAAAAAAAAAATACACAACTCCAGCCCACTATAGCCAAACTTTTCCACCTAAAATGGAGAAATAAGAGCAGAATACACATTCTTCTAAAGCTCACATGGGACTTATACAAAGAGGGACCACATTCTGGGTGAAAAAATACACCTTGCCAAATTTAAGAATAGAAATCATGTAATATCTGTTATCAGATTACAATGGAATTGAACAAAAAAATGGAAAATCCCAATATATGTGAATATTAAAAAAAAACACAGTTCTAAATAATACATGGTCAAAGAAAATCTCAAAAGTATTTAAAAATAATTTTAACTACATGAAAATGAAAACAACTTATGAAAATGTGTGGGATGCAGTAAACGTAGTGCTTGAAGAAAATTGAACAACATATTTAAATGCATATATTACACAAATCAGAATGATCTAAAATTAATTACCTAAGCTTCCACCTTAGAAAAAAGAAGGGAAAATTAAAGTACGATGAAGAAAAGCAATAAGAGTTAGAACAAAAATCAATAAAATTAAATAAGAAATAGAGAGTAGTTAATGAAATCTAAAGCTGTTTATTTGAAAAGACCAAAAAATTAATAAGCCTACAATAATGCTTACTAAGGTGAAAAAAGAGCAGATAGAAATAACGCATATCAGAAATAAAAGGTTATATTATTACAGATTCTATGAATATTAAAAGGATATTAAAGAAATATTATGAACAATCCTATGCCCACAAATTTGTTAGCCTAGATAAAACAGACTGATTCTTTGAAAGCCATAATCTTCTGAAACTCAATCAACAAAAAATAGATGCTTTGAACAGACCTATATCTATTAAATAAATTAAATTAATTATAAATAATGTCCTAAAGCAGAAAGCACCAGGCCCATATAGGTTCATTGGTGAATTTTAACAAACATTTAGGAAGACATTAAACTAATTATCTACAAGCTCTTTCCAAACATAAAAATAGGGAGAATAACTTAACTCAGTCTATGAAGCCATCATTGTCTTAATACCTAAACCAAAGACAGTACAAAAAAAGAAAACTACATATTGATATCTATTATGAACATAGATGCAAACATTTTCAATGAAATATTAGCAAATTCAATGTAACAATGTACAAAAGTAATTATATACCACGACCAAGTATGATTTTACTCAGGTATGCAAAGCTAATTCAATATTTGAAAATCAATTAATATAATCCACAACAGGCTGAAATAGAAAAATTACATGATCTCATAAGTAGATATACAAAAAACCATTTAACAAAATCAAAAATCTGCTTATAACAAAAATTTTTAGTAAACTTAGAATAGAGAAGAAAATTCTACAACTTCATCAAAAATAACTACAAAGAACTTACAGCTAACATCACACTTCATGGTGACAAACTAGAAGTTTGTCTACTAAGGACAAGTCAGGAATATTTCCTCTCATCACTAATTTTTGACATTTTCCTGGAAGTCTTAGGAAATGCAGGGAGACAATAAAAGAAAATGTACAATATATGGATTAGAAACAAAGAAATTTTTAAAAATGCTGTTTTTTTTTTTGCAGAAGACTTGCTCATCTATATATAAAATTCAAAATAATCAAAATATTCTGGATCTGTTTGTTATATGATTATAGCAAGGTTTCAGAATACTAAAGTAATATCAAAAGGTTAATTGCTTTCATATATACTAGCAATGAACAAATGGAATTTGAAACTAAAAACACAAAACATAATAGCATTTACATTAGCACCTCACAAAATGAAATACTTAGGAATTTACCTGAAAAGATATGTATGTCTAAAAGGAAAACCATAACATTGAATGAAAGAAATCAAATAAGGAATAAACAGATGGAGAACTATTCCATGTTAATGGATAGGAAAAATCAACACTGTCAAGTTGCCAGTTCTTCCCAATTTGACCTATAGATTCAATGCAATCCCAGGCAAAATCACAGAAAGTTATTTTGTCAGTATTGACAAACATCGTATAGAAGGGAAGAAGACCCACAATTGCCAACAAAACACTAAAGAACAAAATTGGAGTACTGATACTACCTGGTTTTAAACCTTCCTATAAAGCTATAATAATAAAGACAGGGTGTTATCGATGAAAGATTAGACAAATAGATCAATGGGGCAGAATAAAGAGCCCCAAAACAGATCTACATAAATAAAGTCAACTGATCTTTTCGAAGGAGAAAAGGCAATACAATAGAAAAATGATAATCTACTCAAAATACGGTGTGAGGAAAACTAGACATCACATGTAAATGTGTGTGTGTGTGTGTGTATACACACACATTTGCATGTGATGTCTAGTATACAACACATAACACAAATTTTATGTACATATATTTATAGACCTTATACCCTTCCAAAATTTAACTCAGATAAATTATAGATATAAGTGTAAAATGCAAAATGATATAACTCCTGGAAGCTAATATAGGAGGAAATGTAGATGATACTGGGTACAGTGCTGACTTTGTATATACAACATCAAAGGTACAATCAATGAAAGAAATAATTAATAAACTGAACTTCATTAGAATAAAAAACTGCTGTTGCTCGATGAAAGATAACGTCAGGAATACAGGAAGGAAAGCCACGAACTGTGAGGAAAATATTTGCCAACACGCAAAATAAGAACTCTTAAACCTGATTAAAAATTGAGCCAAAGACTAACAGACTCGTTACCAAGGAGATATGCAGAAGAAAAACACGCATAAGAAAAGAGGCTCAGCCGGGCACGGTTTGGGAGGCTGGGAGGCTGAGGTGAGCAGATCACCTGAGGTCGGGAGCTCGAGACCAGCCTGACCAACTTGGAGAAACCCCGTCTTTACTAAAAATACAAAATTAGCCAGGTGTGGTGTCTCACGCCTGTAATCCCAACTACTCAGGAGGCTGAGGCAGGAGAATCGCTTGAACCTGGGAGGCGAAGGTTGCGGTGAGCCGCAATTGTGCCATTGCACTCCAGCCTGGGCAACAAAAGCAAAACTCCATCTCAAAAAAAAAAGAAAAGAGGCTCCACATCATACATCATCATGAAAATGCAAATTAAAACAATAAGATACCACAGCGTGTTTACTAGAATGGCCAAAATCCATCACACAAAAACTATATCTGCATATTTACAGCACCTTTATTCATAATTGCCAAATCTTGGAGGCAACCATGTTGTCCTTCAGTAAGTGAAAAATAAACTCTGGTACATCCAGAAAAAGTAAAATTTTTGTTGTTAAAAACAATTGAGTTATCAAGCCATGAAAAGACATGGAAGAAACTTTAATGCATATTACTAAGTGAAAAAAGCCACTCTGAAAAGACTACATAGTCTATGATTCCAACTGTATGACCTTCTGGCCAAGGCAAAACTATGGAGGTAATCAAAAAGATCAGTGGTTTTCAGAGGCTAGGGGAAAGATGGGATGAATAGGAGAAATGCCAATTTTTAGGGTAGTAAAACTACACTGCACATTACTATAATGGTGAATATATGTCACCATACTTTCTTCCAAACCCATAGAATGTGAACTCCAATGTAAACTATGGACTTTGAGTGATAATGGTGTACCAATGTAGGTTCACCAGTTGTAACAAATGTATCGCTCTGGTGACACATGCTGATAAGGGTAGAGACTATGCACTATAATGTCCTTTCAATTTTGCTGTGAATTTAAAACTGATGTAAAAAAGTCATGAAAAGACTTCTATAATAGTTTAATAACACATTTATCCATAAAACCCCCAAAAGATACACTCTAATACACATGCACTTAAGAACGAACAAACAGAAGAAAGAGATGGAGCAAGATGGTGGAAGAAAAAGCTCCACCAATTATACCCCTTTCAAGGACACCAAGTTAACAACTACCTACACAGAAAGAAACACCTTCATGAGAACCAAAACTGAGGCAAGTACTTACAGTACCTGGTTTTAACTTTGTATTGCTGAAAGACGCAGTGAGGAGAAAAAACAGTCCTGAATTACTGACGCCACCCCTCCCCATCCCCAGTGGCAGCCGCAGGGTGGGTGTGGAGAGCCTCTCTGGACACTGGGGAAGAAAAATACAGGAATTGTGAGGCATCAAACTCAGTGCTGTCCTTTCAGAGAAAAAATAATCAGACCAAACTCAGCTGACACCAACACACAGAAGGAGCATTCCCCTATCCAGAGGGAAATCACTGGTCTCAGAGGTCTGAACTCCAGTGCCCACAAACCTTGACACCAAGGGCCAAAGTATTCTCAGTCTCTGTGTAAACCTGAAAGGCAGTCTAGGCCATAAAGACCACAACTCTTATGCAATTCCTTGGGCTGAACTAGGCCCAGAGACAGCGGAATGGGAGGGGGGCAGGCAACACACTGAGACACCAGCCGAAGCAGCCAAGGGAGTGCTGGCATCACCCCTCTTCTAGCCCCCAGCTCCAAAAGAGATCCCATCCTTCCACCTGAGGAGGACAGAGAGAAGAGTAGGGAAAACTGTCTTACCTCTTGGTTACCAGCTCAGCCACAGCAGGACAGGAAACCTGTCAAAGTCATGAGGCCCCTTTTCTAGGCCCTAGCTCCCAGGGGACATTTTTAGACACATCCTGGGCCAGGAGGAAACCCACTGCCTTAAAGAAATTGACCCGGTCCTGCCAGCATTTATTACCTGCTAACTGAAAAGCCCCTGGGTTCTGGATAACCAGCGGTGATACCCAGGTATTACATCAAGGGCCCCTGTGAGCCTCTCATGACTTGCTGGCTCCAGGTATCAACACTGCCACAGTGGGGAAGGGTACCAAGCAGGTTCTTGGGGTCCCCAATTCCAGGAATTGACTCTTAGAATTTCTGGACATTGCTTGGGCCAGAAGGAAGCCCACTGCCCTGAAGGGTGAGTCCTAGGGCACACAGCATTCACCATAAACTGACTCAAGAACCTTGGGCCTTAAGGGAACATTGGCAGTGGTATGGCAGTACTTCTTGTGCCGGGGTGGTGGTGACTATGGGGTGTGGCTCCTCGGCTTTTGGCAAGGGGAAGGAAGAGTGGAAAGGACTGCATCTTGTGGTGTTGAGTGTCAGCTCAGCTACAATACAATAGAATACCAGGTAGATTGCTAAGGTTTTTGACACTAGTCCCTCACTCCCAGATGGCACTTCTAGATCCACGTGGGGCCTGGGCGACTTCACCACCCTGAGGCAAAGGACATAAGGCTGGTCTGGCTGGCTTTGCCATCTGGTGATTGTAGACCCTTGGGTCCTTGAGTGAACATGGGCAGTAGCCAGGGAGTGGTTACAGCAGGCTGTGGGTGAGACCCAATGCTGTGCGGGCTTCAGGTCTGACCAGTGTAGTCATAGTGGTGGTAGCCACAGGGGTGCTTGTGTCACTCCATGCTATGGTTAGGCTTTGTGTTCCCACTAACATCTCTTCTTGAATTGTAATCCCCAGGTGCTAAGGGAGAGGCCTGGTGGGAGGTGATTGGATCACGGGGGCTGCTTCCCCCATGCTATTCTAATGATAGAGAGTGAGTTCTCACAAGATCTGATGGTTTTATAAGGGGATCTGCCCCCCTTTGCTTTTGACACATGGTTCTCTGACCTGGCATCATGTAAGATGTGCCTTTGCTTCTCCTTCACCTTCTGCCATGATTGTAAGTTTCTTAAGGCCTTCCCAGCCCTCGGAACTGTGAGTCGATTAAACCTCCTTCCTTTATAAATTACCCAGTCTTGGATATTTCTTTATAGCAGTGTGAAAACGAATTAATACAGTAAATTGTTACCAAGGTAGTGGGACACTGCTACAAAGATACTTAAAAATGTGGAAGTGACTTTGGAACTGGGTAACAGGCAGAGGTTGGAACAGTTTGGAGGGCTCAGAAGAACACAGGAAGACGTGGGAAAATTTGGAACTTTCCAAAGACTTGTTTAACGGTTTTGACCAAAATGCTGATATAGTGAGGTTGAAAATGAAGTCCAGGTTGAGGTGGTCTGAGATGGAGGTGAGAAACTCATTCAGAACTGAAGCAAAGATCACTCTTGCTATGCTTCAGCAAAGAGACTGGTGGCATTTTGCCCCTGTCTCCACAGTTAGAGATCTGTGGAACTGGAACTTGAGAGAGATGATCTGAAATTGGAACTTATGTTTAAAAAGGAAGCAGAGCATCAAAGTTTGGAAAATTTGCAGCTTGATGATGCAGCAGAAAAGAAAAACCCATTTTTCTGGGAGAAATTCAAACCCACTGCAGAAATTTGCCTAAGAAATGAGGAGTCAAATGTTAATTACTAAAACGATATGGAAAATGTCTCCAAGGCATGTCAGAGGTTTTCACAGCAGCCCCTCCTAACACAGGGCCAAAGCCTCAGAGGACAAAATTGTTTCCTGGGCCAACTGCTTTGTGCAGTGTAGGTACTTGGTGCCTTAAGTCCTAGCCATGGCTAAAAGGGGCCAATGTACAGCTCAGGCCATTGCTTCACAGGGTGCAAGCCCCAAGGCACTTGGCAGCTTCCATGTGGTGTTGCGGCTGCAGATGCACCGAAGTCAAGAATTGAGCTTTGGGAACCTCTGCCTAGACTTTAGAGGATGTATGGTATGGAAACAGATGGTTGTTCAGGTAGAACTCTGCTGCAGGGGCGAAGCTCTCATGGAGAATCTGCTAGGGTAATGCAAAGAAGAAATGTGGGGTTGGAGCCCCCCCCACAGAGTCCCGACTAGGATGCTGCCTAGTGGAGCTGTAAGAAGAGGACCACCATCCTCCAGACCCCAGAATGGTAGATCCACTGACAGCTTGAACCTTGCATCAGGAAAAGTCACAGACAATGCGAGCCATGAAAGCAGCTGGGTGAGGGGGCTATACCCTGCAAAGCCATGGTGGCAGAGCTGCCCAAGGCTGTGAGGGCCCACCTCTTCCATCAGTGTGACCTGGATGTGAGACACGGAGTCAAAGGATATCATTTTGGAGCTTTAAGATTT
Organism: Homo sapiens; assembly: GCF_000001405.40. Taxonomy (NCBI): domain Eukaryota; kingdom Metazoa; phylum Chordata; class Mammalia; order Primates; family Hominidae; genus Homo; species Homo sapiens. The sequence goes on along the minus strand of NC_000002.12, from coordinate 116,193,941 downwards.
AATGACTGCCCTGTTGGATTTTGGACTTGCATGGAGCCTGTATAGCCCCTTTGTTTTGGCCTATTTATCCCATTTGGCATGAGAGCATTTATCCAATTCCTATATTCCATTGTGTCTTGGAGGTAACTAACTTGCTTTTGATTTTATGGGCTCCTAAGCAGAAGGAACTTGACTTGTCACAGATGGGATTTTGGACTTGGACTTTTGAGTTAATGCTAAAATGAGTTAAGAATTTTGTGAACTGTTGGGAAGGCATGATTGTGTTTTGAAATGTGAGAATAGGAGATTTTGGGAGGGACTACAGGCAGAGAAATATGGTTAGGCTCTGTGTCCCCACTCAGATGTCATCTTGAATTGTAATCCCAAGGTGTTGAAGGAGAGACCTTGAGGGAGGTGATTGGATCATGGGGGCAATTTCCCCCATGCTTTTCTTGTGACAGTGAGTGAGTTCTCACAAGATCTGATGGTTTTATAAGGGGCTCCTACGCCTTTGCTTTTCACACATGCTTTTCTTGCCTTCCACCATGTAAGATGTGCCTTTGCTTCTCTTTCACCTTCCACCATGACACTAAGTTTCATAAGGCCTCCCAAGGAACTGTGAATCCATTAAACCTCCTTCCTTTGTAAATTACACAGTCACAGGTATTTCTTTATAGCAGGGTGAAAATGGACTAATACACACCACCTCCAGCTTTAGGTGGCTCAGAACAGAGACAGAGACTCTGTATGTTTGCGACAAGGTAAGGGAAGGGAACAAGAGTCTTTGCCTGGTAAATGAGAGAATTCTCCCAGAACATGTCCAACATAATCAAGACAGTCCATCTATGAGTCTGCAAGAACCACAGAATTACTTGGCTAGGGTGCCTCCCAAAGTAGAAACAGTTTAGATCACAACACTCAAGTCCTTTCAAATATCTGGAAAGGCTACCCCAAAAGGAAAACTACAAGTAAGCCCAGACAGTGAAGATTACAATAAATACCTAATTATTCAATGCTCAGACACAAAAGAACATCTACTAGCATCAGTGTCAGCCAGGAAAACATGAACTTACCAAATGAACTAAATAAGGCACCAAGGAGCAATCCTGGTGAATCAGATATGTGATCCTTCAGACACAGAATTCACAATAGTTGTTTTAAGGAAACTCAAATAAATTCAAAATAACACAGAGAAGTAACTCAGAAATAGAAAAGCTTAACAAAGAGATGGAAATAATTAAAAATAAGCAGAAATACTGGAGCTGAATAATACAACTGGCATACTGAAGAATGCATCAGAGTCCTTTAATAGCAGAATGGATCAAGGAGAAGACATAATTAGTGATCTTAAAGGCAAGCTATTTTAAAATACATAATCAGGGGAGGCAAAAAATAAAAATAAAAAAGAAACAGGCTTAGAGGATGTAGAAAATATCCTCAAATGGGCAAATCTAAGAGTTATTGGTCTTAACGAGGAGGTAGAGTGATACAGATAGAAAGCTTTTTCAAAGGTATAATAACAGAGAATTTCCCAATTCTAGAGAAAGATTTCAATATCCAAGTACAAGAAGGTTATAGAACACCAAGCAGATTTAACCCAAAGAAGATTGCCTCAAGGAATTTAATAATCAGACTCCTAAAGGTCAAGGATAAAGAAAGGATTCTAAAAGCAGGAAGAGAAAACAAGCAAATAACATAAAACGGAGCTACAATATGTCTTTCAGAACACTTTTTAGTGGAAACCTTACAGGCCAAGAGAGAATGGCATGACATATTTAAAGTGCTGAAGGAAAATAACTTTTGCCCTAGAATAGTATATCTGGCAAAAATGTCATTCAAGCTGAAGGAGAAATAAGCAAAAGCTGGGGAATTTTATCAGTACCAGACCTTTCCTACAAGAAATGCTACAACCTTTCCTATATGGAAATGCCAGACCTTTACTACTTCAATCAGAAGGAAAAGGATATTAATAAGCAATAAATAATTACCTGAAGGTATAAAACTTACTGGTAATAGTAAGCACACAGAAAAACACAGAATACTATAACAATGTAACTATGGTGTGTAAACTACTCTTATCCTGAGTAGAAAGACTAAACAATGAACCAATAAGAAATAATAACTACAAAAACTTTGTAGGACATAGTACAAAAATATATAAATGGAAACAATAAAAAGTTTAAAAGTTCGAGGACAAAGTTAAGGTGAATTTTTATTAGTTTTTGTTTTGCTTGCTTGTTTATACAGAGAATATTGTTATTAGGTTAAAATAATAAGTACAGTATTTGCAAGCCTCATGGTGACCTCAAACTACAAAACATACAATGGATACAGAAAAAATAAAAAGAAAGAAACTAAATCATATCACCAGAGCAAATCTTCTTCACTAGAGAAAGACAAGAATGAAAGAAAGAGAAGGCCACAAAACAACCAGAAAACAAGTAACAAAATGTCAGGAGTAAGTCCTTACTTATTCGTAATATGTTGAATGTAAATGGATGAAACTCTCCAATCAAAAGCTGTAGAATGGCTGAATGAAAGAAAAAACAAGACTCATTTATCTGTTTCTTACAAGAAACACACTTCGCCTATAAAGACACACATAGACTAAAAATAAAGGGATAGAAAAAGAATTTCATGCCAATGGAAACCAAAAACAAGCAGAAGTTACTATATACATATCAGACAAAAGAGATTTCAAGAGAAAAACTATAAGAGACAAAGAAGGTTGTTATAAAATGATAAAGGGGTCAGTTCAGCAAAAGGATAATAATTTTAAATATATATGCAGCAAACACAGGAACACCCAGATATATAAAGAAAATATTATTAGAGTTAAAAAGAGAGGCCCCAATATAATAAGAGCTGGAGACTTCAACACCCAAATAAAAGAAGTAATAAAGACCAGAGCATAAATAAATGAAATTGAATTTTAAAGACACTAAAAAGATCAATGAAACAAAAAATGAGTTTTGTGAAAAGTTAAACAAAATTGACAAACCGTTAGCCAGACTGTCAGGCCTCTGAGCCAAAGCTAAGCCATCATATCCCCTGTGACCTGCACGTACACATCCAGATGGCCTGCTCCTGCCTTAACTGATGACATTCCACCACAAAATAAGTGAAAATGGCCTGTTCCTGCCTTAACTGATAACATTACCTTGTGAAATTCCTTTTCCTGGCTCATCCTGGCTCAAAAGCTCCCCAACTGAGCACCTTGTGACCCCTACCCCTGCCAGCCAGAGAACCCCCCTTTGACTGTAATTTTCCTTTACCTACCCAAATCTTATAAAATGGCCCCACCCCATCTCCCTTCCCTGACTCTCTTTTCAGACTCAGCCCACCTGCACCCAGGAGATTAAAAAGCTTTATTGCTCACAAAAAGCCTGTTTGGTGGTCTCTTCACACAGACACGAGTGAAACAGACTAAGAAGAAAAGATCAAAAACAGAAAGATAAAATAGAAAGACAAAAAAATTAAAGTTTTATTGATTTTCTGAGAAAATCAGAAATGAAAAAGGAGATATTACATCAGATACTGTAGAAATTCAAAAGATCATTAGTGACTGGGTATGAGCAACTACATGCCAATAAATTGGAAAATCTAGAAGAAATGGACAAATTTCTAGATACATACAATCTACCAAGATTAAAACAGGAAGAAATCCAAAACCTGAACAGACCAATAACAAGTAACGAGATCAAAGCCATAATAAAAAGTATTCCAGTAAAGAACGTCCCAGGACTTGATGGCTTTACTGCTGAATTATACCAATCCTACTCAAGAACTAATACCAATCCTACTGAAATTATTCTGAAAAATAGAGGAGGAGGAAATACTTCCAAATTCACTCTTTAAGGCCAGAATTACCCTGATACCAAAACCGGACAAAGACCTATCAAAAATTGAAAACTACAGGTCAATATCTCTGATCAATGTTCGTGCAAAAATTCTCAACAAGTTATTAGCAATCCAAATTCAACAACATATTTGAAAGGTCACACATATGACCAAGTGGAATTTATTACTAGGATGCAAGGATGATTCAACATATGCAAATCGATCAATATGATACATCATAACACAATGAAAGATAAAAACCATATGGTCATTTCAATTGATGCTGAAAACGCATTTGATAAAATTCAACATCCCTTCAGAATAATAAAAAAAAAATCTCCAACAAACTGGGTATAGAAAGAACATAACTCTACATAATAAAAGCTATATAAGACAGACCCATAGCTAGTATTGTCAGGCCCCTGAGCCCAAGCTAAGCTATCATATCCCCTGTGACCTGCACGTACACATCCAGATGGCCAGTTCCTGCTTAACTGATGACATTCCACCACAAAAGAAGTGAAAATGGCCTGTTCCTGCCTTAACTGATGACATTATCTTGTGAAATTCCTTCTCCTGGCTCATCCTGGCTCAAAAGCTCCCCTACTGAACACCTTGTGACCCCCACCCCTGCCCGCCAGAGAACAACCCCCCTTTGAGTGTAATTTTCCTTTAGCTACCCAAATCTTATAAAATGGCCCTACCCCTATCTCCCTTTGCTGACTCTCTTTTTGGACTCAGCCTGCCTGCACCCAGGTGAAATAAACAGCCTTGTTGCTCACGCAAAGCCTGTTTGGTGGTCTCTTCAAAAGGACACGCATGAAATTTGGTGCCGTGACTCAGATCGGGAGACCTCCCTTGGGAGATCAATCCCCTGTCCTCCTGCTCTTTGCTCCGTGAGAAAGATCCACCTACGACCTCAGATCCTCAGACCAACCAGCCCAAGGAACGTCTCACCAATTTCAAATCCAGTAAGCGGCCTCTTTTTACTCTCTTCTCCAACCTCCCTCACTATCCCTCAACCTCTTTCTCCTTTCAATCTTGGCGCCACACTTCAATCTCTCCCTTCTCTTAATTTCAATTCCTTTCATTTTCTGGTAGAGACAAAGGAGACACATTTTATCTGTGGACCCAAAACTCTGGTGCCAGTCACGGACTTGGGGAGGCAGCCTTCCCTTGCTGTTTAATCATTGCAGGAACGGCTCTCTTATTCAGCCATGTTCCATTTGTGTCTGATCTCCACGGGGACACCTGCCTTGATCATTCACCCATGTATCCTTGGTGGCAAGTCAACTGCAGGGACGCCGGCTTTGACTGCTCACCCACATTGCAGCCCAGGGCTGCTCACCACCTCCTTCTCCATGTCTCTATCCTTCTCTTTAAACTTGCCTCCTTCGCTATAGGCAAGCGTCCACCCTCCATTCCTCCTTCTTCTCCCTTAGACTGTGTTCTCAAGAAGACAAAATCCCTTCAACTCACACCTGACCTAAAACCTAAACACCTTATTTTCTTCTACAATGCCGCTTGACCCCAATACAAACTCGACAGTGGTTCCAAATAGCCAGAAAATGGCACTTTCAATTTTTCCATCCTACAAGATCTAAATAATTCTTGTCGTAAAATAGGCAAATAGTCTGAGATGCCTGATGTCCAGGCATTCTTTTACACATCGGTCCCTCCCTAGTCTCTGTTCCCAATGCAACTCATCCCAAATCTTCCTTCCCTCCCACCTGTCCCCTCAGTCCCAACCCCAAGCATTGCTGAGTCTTTCTAATCTTCCTTTTATATAGACCTATCTGACCTCTCCCCTCCTCGCCAGGCTGAGCTAGGTCCCAATTCTTCCTCAGCCTCTGTTCCTCCACCCTATAATCCTTTTATCCCTTCCCCTCCTCACACCCTGTCCAGCTTACAGTTTCGTTCCGTGACTGGCCCTCCCCCACCTGCCCAGCAATTTCCTCTTAAAAAGGTGGCTGGAGCTAAAGGCATACTCAAAGTTAATGCTCCTTTTTCTTTATCCCAAATCAGATAGCGTTTAGGCTCTTTTTCATCAAATATAAAAACCCAGCCCAGTTCACGGCTTGTTTGGCAGCAACCCTGAGACGCTTGACAGCCCTAGACCCTAAAAGGTCAAAAGGCCGTCTTATTCTCAATATACATTTTATTACCCAATCCACTCCCGACTTTAAATAAAGCTCCAAAAATTAAATTCCGGCCCTCAAACACCGCAATGGGACTTAATCTCGCCTTCAAGATGTACAATAATAGAAAAAAGTTGCAATTCCTTGCCTCCACTGTGAGAGAAACCCCAGCCACATCTCCAGCACACAAGAACTTCCAAACGCCTGAACCACAGTGGCCAGGGATTCCTCCAGAACCTCCTCCCCCAGGAGCTTGCTACAAGTGCCGGAAATCTGGCCACCAGGCCAAGGAATGCCCGCAGCCTGGGATTCCTCCTAAGCCCCATCCCATCTGTGTGGGACCCCAATGAAAACCGGACTGTTCAACTCACCTGGTAGCCACTCCCAGAGCCCCTGGAACTCTGGCCCAAGGCACTCCGACTGACTCCTTCCCAGATCTTCTTGGCTTAGCAGCTGAAGACTGACACTGCCCGATCGCCTCAGAAGCCCCCTAAACCATCACGGATGCCAAGCATCAGGTAACTCTCACAGTAGAAGGTAAGTCAGTCCCCTTCTTAATCAATATGGAGGCTACCCACTCCACATTACCTTCTTTTCAAAGGCCTGTTTCCCTTGCCTCCATAACTGTTGTAGGTATTGACAGCCAGGCTACTAAACCTCTTAAAACTCCCCAACTCTGGTGCCAACTTAGACAATACTTTTTTAAGCACTCTTTTAGTTTTCCCCACCTGCCCAATTCCCTTATTAGGCCAAGACACTTTAACTAAATTATCTGCTTCCCTGACTATTCCTGGACTACAGCCACATCTCATTGCTGCCCTTGTTCCCAATCCAAAGCCTCCTTTGCCTCTTCTTCTTGTATCCCCCCACCTTAACCCACAAGTATAAGATACCTCTACTCCCTCCTTGGTGACCCATCATGCACTCCTTACCATCTTGTTAAAGCCTAATCACCCTTACCCCGCTCAAAGCCAATATCCCATCCCGCAGGGTGCTTTAAAAAGATTAAAGCCTCTTATCACTCACCTGCTACAGCATGGCCTTTTAAAGCCTATAGACTCTCCTTACAATTCCCCCATTTTACCTGTCCTAAAACCAGACAAGCCTTACAAGTTAGTTCAGGATCTGTGCCTTATCAACCAAATTGTTTTGCCTATCCACCCCATAGTGCCAAACCCATATACTCTCCTATCCTCAATACCTCCCTCCACAATCCATTATTCTGTTCTGTATCTCAAACATGCTTTCTTTACTATTCCTTTGCACCTTTCATCCCAGCCTCTCTTCGCTTTCACTTAGACTGACCCCGACACCCATCAGGCTCAGCAAATTACCTACGCTGTACTGCCACAAGGCTTCACAGATAGCCCCCATTACTTCGGTCAAGCCCAAATTTCATCCTCATCTGTTACCTATTTCGGCATAATTCTCATAAAAACACACGTGCTCTCCCTGCTGATCGTGTTCGACTAATCTCCCAAACCTCAATCCCTTCTACAAAACAACAACTCCTTTCCTTCCTAGGCATGGTTAGTGTGGTCAGAATTCTTACACAAGAGCCAGGACCGCACCCTGTAACCTTCCTGTCCAAACAACTTGACCTTACTGTTTTAGCCTAGCCCTCATGCCTGCATGCAGCGGCTGCCACTGCCTTAATACTTTTAGAGGCCCTAAAAATCACAAACTATGCTCAACTCACTCTCTGCAGTTCTCATAACTTCCAAAATCTATTTTCTTCCTCATACCTGATGCATATACTTTCTGCTTCCAGGCTCCTTCAGCTATACTCACTCTTTGTTGAGTCTCCCACAATTACCATTGTTCCTGGCACGGACTTCAATCCGGCCTCCCACATTATTCTGGATACCACACCTGACCCCCATGACTGTATCTGTCTGATCCACCTGACATTAACCCCATTTCCTCATATTTCCTTATTTCCTGTTCCTCACCCTGATCACATTTAGTTTATTGATGGCAGTTCCACCAGGCCTAATCGCCACTCACCAGCAAAGGCAGGCTATGCTATAGTATCTTCCACATCTATCATTGAGGCTACTGCTCTGCCCACCTCTACTACCTCTCAGCAAGCTGAACTACTTGCCTTAACTCAAGCCCTCACTCTTGCAAAAGGACTACTCATCAGTATTTATACTGACTCTAAATATGCCTTTCATATTCTGCACCACCATGCTGTTATATAGGCTGAAAGAAGTTTCCTGACTACGCAAAGATCCTCCATCATTAATGCCTCTTTAATAAAAACTCTGCTCAAGGTCGCTTTACTTCCAAAAGAAGCTGGAGTCATTCACTGCAAAGGCCATCAAAAGGCGTCAGATCCCATTGCTCTAGGCAACACTTACACTGATAAGGTGGCTAGACAAGCAGCTAGCTTTCCAACTTCTGTCCCTCATGGCCAGTTTTTCTCCTTCACATCGGTCACTCCCACCTATCAATCTCTTCCCACACAAGGCAAATAGTTCTTAGACCAAGGAAAATATCTCCTTCCAGCCCCACAGGCCCATTCTATTCTGTCGTCATTTCATAACCTCTTCCATGTAGATTATAAGCCGCTAGCCCGTCTCTTAGAACCTCTCATTTCCTTTCCATCCTGGAAATCTATCCTCAAAGAAATCACTTCTCAGTGTTCCATCTGCTATTCTACTAACCCTCAAGGATTGTTCAGGCCTCCTCCCTTTCCTACACATCAAGCTCGAGGATTTGCCCCTGCCCAGAACTGGCAAATTGATTTTACTCATGTGCCCCGAGTCAGAAAAGTAAAATACCTCTTAATCTAGGTAGACACTTTCACTGGATAAGTAGAGGCCTTTCCTACAGGGTCTGAGAAGGCCACCACGGTCATTTCTTCCCTTCTGTCAGACATCATTCCTCAGTTTGGCCTTCCCACCTCTATGTAGTCCGATAGCAGACCGGCCTTTATTAGCCAAATCAGCCAAGCATTTTTTCAGGCTCTTAGTATTCAGTGAAATCTTTATATCCCTTATAGTCCTCAGTCTTCAGGAAAAGTAGAACACACTAATAGTCTTTTAAAAACACACCTCACCAAGCTCAGCCACCAACTTAAATGGGACTAGACAATACTTTTACCACTTTCCCTTCTCAGAATTCAGGCCTGTCCTTGGAATGCTACAAGGTACAGCCCATTTGAGCTCCTGTATGGACACTCCTTTTAATTAAGCCCCAAGTCTCATTCCAGACACCAGACCAACTTAAATTGTGCCCCAAAAAACTTGTCATCCCTACTATCTTCTGTGTAGTCATACTCCTATTCACCGTTCTCAACTACTCATACATGCCCTGCTCTTGTTTACACTGTCAGGTTACACCGTTTCTCCAACCCATGACAGCTGATATCTCCTGGTGCTATCCCCAACTGCCATTCTTAACTCTTAGAGTAAATAAATAATCTTTGCTGGCAGGACTATGCTGAATCTCCTTAGGCACTCTCTAATTAAATGTCCTAGGTCCTCCCAATTCTTAGACACTTAATACCTGTTTTTCTCCTTCTCTTATTCCGTTTAGTTTTTCAATTCATACAAAACCATATCCAGGCCATCACCAATAATTCTAAGTGACAAACGTTTCTTCTAACAACCCCACAATATCACCCCTTACCACAAAATCTTCCTTCAGCTTAATCTCTCCCACTCTAGGTTCCCACGCCTAACCTAATCCTGCTCCAAGCAGCCCTGAGAAACATCGCCCATTATCTCTCCATACCAGCCCCCAAAATTTTCGCCATCCCAACGTTTTACCACTATTTCATTTTATTTTTCTTATTAATATAAGAAGACAGGAATGTCAGGCCCCTGAGCCCAAGCTAAGCTATCATATCCCTTGCGACCTGCACGTACACATCCAGATGGCCAGTTCCTGCCTTAACTGATGACATTCCACCACAAAAGAAGTGAAAATGGCCTGTTCCTGCCTTAACTGATGACATTATCTTGTGAAATTCCTTCTTCTGGCTCATCCTGGCTCAAAAGCTCCCCTACTGAGCACCTTATGACCCCCACCCCTGCCCGCCAGAGAACAACCACCCTTTGACTGTAATTTTCCTTTACCTACCCAAATCTTATACAACGGCCCCACGCCTATCTCCCTTTGCTGACTCTCTTTTTGGACTCAGCCCGCCTGCACCCAGGTGAAATAAACAGCCTTGCTGCTCACACAAAGCCTGTTTAGTGGTCTCTTCACACGGACTTGTATGAAAAGTATCACATGGAATGGGGAACACCTGAAAGCCTTTCCTCTTAAGATCTGGTACACCACAAGAATGGCACTGTCACCACTGTTACTCAACACAGTACTGAAAGTCCTAGCTAGAGCAATCAGACAAGAGAAAGATATTAAGGGCATACAAATTGGAATGGAACAAGTCAAAATATCCTGTTTTGCAGATTATATAATCTTATATTTGGAAAAACCTAAAGAATCCACAAGAAAACTATTAGAACTGATTAAAAAAATAAAGTGGGAAAATACAAAATCAACATACAAAAATCTGTAGCATTTCTCTATGTCAATAGTGAACATTCTGAAAAAAAAGGAATAAAAAAATCTAACTTAGAATCGCCACACATAAAATTAAATACTTAGAAATTAAAGAAGTGAAAGATCTCTGTAATGAAAACTTTAAAACACTGATGAAAAAAATTGAAGAGGACATCAAAAAATGAAAAAAAAATTATGTTCATTAATTGGGAGACTCAATATTGTTAAAATGTTCATAATACGCAAAGCATAATCTATAGATTCAATGCAATCCTTATCAAAATACCAATGATGGTCTTCACAGAAATGGAAAAAGCATTCCTAAAATTTGTATGGAACTACAGAAAAACCAAGAATAGTCAAAGCTAAAAAAAAAAAAAAAAAAAAAATCTAGATAAATTACATTACCAGACTTCTTCTTATACTACAGAGCTATAGTAACCAAAATAGCATTGTAGTGGCATAAAAACAGACACATAGAATGATAAAACAGAATAGAGAACCCAGAAACAAATCCACACACTTACAGTGAGCTCATTTGGACAAAGGTGCCATAACATACCCTGGGGAAAAAATGAGTCTCTTCAATAAATGGTGCTTGGAAAACTGGATGTCCATAAGCAGAAGAGACTTGACCCTTATCTTTCAGAAAATAAAAATTCTATCAAAATGAATTAAAGGCTTAAATCCAAGACATCAAACCATGAATCTACTACAAGAAAACATTGGGGAAAATGTCCACAACATTGGTGTGGGCAAAGATTTCTTGATCAATACTCCACAAACAAACACAGGCAACCAAAGCAATCATGGACAAACGGGATCACACGAAGTTAAAAAGTTTCTAAACAGTAAAGTATACAATCAAAAAGTGAACAGACAACCCACACAATGGGAGAAAATATTCGCAAACTATCACTCTGATAAGGGAGGAATCACCAGTATATGTAAGGAGCACAAACAACTCTATAGGAAAAAAAAATCTAATAATCCAATAAAGTAAGCAAATATTTGAACAGATATTTTTCAAAAGAAGACATACAAATGGCAAGTGGGCATATGAAAAGGTGCCCAACATCATTGATCATCAGATAAATGCACATCAAAACTATAATTAGATATCATCTCACCCCAGTTAAAATGGCTTATATCCAAAAGACAGGTAATACGAAGTGCTGGCAAGGATGCGGAGAAAAGGGAACCCTTGTAAACTGTTGGTGGGAATTTAATTAGTACAACCACTATAGAAAGCAGTTTGGAGGTTCCTCAAAAAACTAAAAATAGAGCTACCATATGATCCAGCAATCTCACTGCTGGGTATGTACCCAAAAGAAAGGAACTCAATATATCAAAGAGATATCTGTACTCCTACATTTGTTGCAGCACTGTTTACAATAGCTAAGATTTGGAAGAAACCTAAGTGTCCATCAACAGATGAATGGATAAAGAAAATGTGATACATATACACAGTGGAACACCATGCAGCCATAAAAAAGAATGAGATTCAGTCATCCGCAATAACATGGATGGAACTGGAGATCACTATGTTAAGCGAAATAAGCCAGAGACAGAAACAAAAACATTGCATACTCTCACTTATTTGTGGAATCTAAAAATAAAAATCAGTTGAACTCATGGACATAAAAAGTAGAAGCACGGTTACCAGAGGCTAGGAAGGGTAGTGAGGGTTGCGGGTAGAAGGTAGGGATGATTAATGGGTAAAAAAGAAAAAACAGAAAGAATGAATAACACCTACTATTTGAGAGCACCTTATGGTGACTGAAGTCAAAAATAATTGTATATTTTAAAATAACTAAAGAATGTAATTGGATTGTTTATAACTTAAAAGACAAATGCTTGAGGGCAAGGATATCCCATTCTTTAAGATGTGGTTATTTAACATTGTATGCCTGTATCAAAACATCTCAGGTACCCCATAAATATACATACCTACTATGTATCCACAAAAATTTTAAAATCTAATTTTTTTAAAGAATGGATAAATATAACCATATAATGAAATACTATTTATATGCATACTACTGATTTGCATAATGACATGGATGAACCTCAAAACATGTTAAGTGAAAGAAGCAAGATACTAAATAATACACTGTATTATTCCATTTATATGAAGTTTTAGAAGAACAAAATTCATCAATGATAAAATAGTGATTTCAAAGTGTGTTGAGTGAGCATAACACACAACTTTGTGGGATGATAGAAATGTTTTATGATGTGAGTTACATGGATGCATGCATTTTTTTCAAATATGTTTGGACTGTACAGTTAAGACATATATTTTACTGCCTATAAATTAAACCAAATAGATATATAAATGTAATATAACAGAAATTATAAATATGTGTACATTTAAGTAATCTTTCAATAACAATGTATTTCAAAGATATTTCACAGCTCAAAAAAACATACCATTTTGTCAAACTGGGAAAACAGAACATTTTTGCTAAATGGTATTTTTTATTGGGGTAAGATATAAATAACAAAAAAAGTTACTTTTTGATTTTTTAAGTATACAATTCAGTGGCATCAAATACATTCACAATGTTTTACAACTATTCACTAGTCATTTCCAGAACATTTTATTACAGCAAACAGAAACTCTACCTATTAAGCAATTAATTCCTCATTCCCACTATACCAAGCCTAGGGTAACATTGGTTCTATTTTCTGTCTCTAAAAGTTTGGCTATTGTGAGTACCTCATATAAGCATAATAATACAATATTTATCCTTTGCATGCGGTTTATCTAACTTAGCCTAATGCCTTTAACTTTACTCATGTCATAGCATGTATCAGAATTTTATTCTTTTTAAGGCTAAATGTTCCATTGTATATATACCACATTTTGTTTATCTAACTTTTGAAGGATATTTGCGTTGTTTCCATCTTTTGGCTGCTGTGAATAATACTGCCATGAATGTTAGTGCACAAATATATACACCTAGAAATGAAATGACTGGATCATAGATAATTCTATGTTTAACTTTTTGAGAAACATGTAAATTATTTTCTATAGCAATTGCATCATTTTATGTTCCCAAGAACAAAACACAAAAGTTTTAATTTCTCCACGTCTTCACCAACACCTGTTGTTTTCTCTTCTTAATAATAGCCAACCTATTTTGTGTGGGGAGGCATCTCATTGAAGTTTAGATTGGCATTTCCCAAATGACTAGTGAGGTTTAGCATCTTTTCATGTGCTTATTAGCCATCTGCATATCTTCTTTGGAGCAATGAACTATTCGAGTCCTTTTTTTTTTGTATTGGCTTGTTTGGTTTTTGCTGTTGAGTTGTAGGACTTCGTTGTATATTCTGGAAATTAACCTCCTATTAGATAAGTAATTTGCAAATTCTTTTTTCCTATTTAGCAGCTTGTCTTTTCATTCACTTAATAGTGCTATTCAATGCATAGAAATTTTTAACGGTGATGAAGCCAAAATTGAATTTTTTTTGTTGCCAGTGCTTTTTTTTCTTCATTTTTAACAACTGAACAGCTTTCTTCATTTTTAACAACTGAACAGCTTATGGCCTAAGAATTCTTGACAATTGGTTTCATTACCTTTCCTCAGTTATTTTTCTTTTCAATTTTATTAATTTCTGGTATTTATTACTTTCTTTCTCTTGCTACATTTGAGTTTTATTTGTTGTCCCTTTACTAGTTTCTTGATGGTGGAAGCTTAGAATACTGTTTTGAGAATATTTTTATTTTCTCAATATAAGTAGGTAATGCTATGAATTTCTCTGTGAGCATTGCTTTTCACTGCATTCACAAATTTTGACATGGTTCATTTTCATTCCACTTAAGTTCCATTTAGACTTAATTTTTAATTCATATGGTTTTTTTTTTGGTTTTATTATGGCCTAAGAATTCTTGACAAAATGTGTGTTCTAATACTTTGGGGTGAAGTGTTTAACAAATTTTAAATTAGGTCAAATTGAATGGCAATTTGGGTCATATATTCAATATCCTTACTATTTTTCTGACTACTTTTTCTATCAATTACTGCAAAGGAGTGTTGAAGTCTGCATTTACGACTGTGGATTTCTCCATTTCTTCTTTTAGTCTATGTATTTTGATACCAATTATTAAGTGCATGTGCATTTAGAATTTTTGTCTTAGAAAAATAGTCCTTTTATAATTAAATGATGTTTCTTTTTATTCTTATTTGTTTTTGGAAACTTACTTTTCTGATACTAATTGTCAGGCCTCTGAGCCCAAACTAAGCCATCGCATCCCCTGTGACCTGCACGTATATGCCCAGATGGCCTGAAGTAACTGAAGAATCACAAAAGAAGTGAAAATGGCCTGTTCCTGCCTTAGCTGATGACATTCCACCACAAAAGAAGTGAAAATGGGCAGTCCTTGCCTTAAGTGATGACATTACCTTTCCTTTTCCTGGCTCATCCTGGCTCAAAAAAGCTCCCCCACTGAGCACCTTGTGACCCCCCACTCCTGCCCACCAGAGAACAACCCCCCTTTGACTGTAATATTCCTTTACCTACCCCAATCTTATAAAACGGCCCCACCCCTATCTCCCTTCGCTGACTCTCTCTTCGGACTCAGCCTGCCTGCACCCAGGTGATTAAAAAGCTTTATTGCTCACACAAAGCCTGTTTGGTGGTCTCTTCACACGGACACGAGTGAAACTAATATTGCTGCTTTTGCTTTATTTATTTTGGTTATTGTTTTAATAATATTTTACAGCTGTTTATCTTTAGCTTACCTGTGTCCTTATGTTTAAAGTGAGATTTTGTAGGGATAACATATTGGATCTCGATTTGTAATGCAATTTTACAATCTCTGTCTTATCAGTAATTTTTATGCCATTCATACTTAGAGTGCTTATTAATATCATTGAATTAAAATCTACCATTGTCTCCTTCTATTTTTCTACCTATTATATATTCTTCATCCTCTGTTTTCCTGTCTTTCATGGCTAATTAAGGAAATTTTTAGGATTTTTAAAATCTACTTTATTGGTTTATTAAGTCTATCTTTTAAAATATTTATAGTGATTGCTAAAATGTTTAAATTATGCCTCCAAATAATACCATGCTGCTTCATGAATAGTAGAGCAACATAACAGTGCATTCCCAAATCTATTCATCTTTTGCATTACTGTGTCATGTACTATATATTGCTAATATTTTTGTCTTAGTTTATCTTTAAAAAAAATTCTTCATATAGATCCAAGTTACAGTGTTATATTCCTTTTGCCTGAAGAATTTCTAAAATTTCTTGCAGGTTTAAACATTTATTGTTGGTCTTCTGACAAGAAATTCTCCCAGGTTTAATTTGTCTAGGAAAAGTATTAATTTTTATTCTTTGAAAAATATTTTTGCTTTTTATAGAATGATAGGTTGGCAGTTAGGTTTTCAAATGTTTTAGTAGTTTAAAAATGATATGTTATTTTTACAGCTGGCATGATTTCTGAGAAATTCGTTTATAATTGTCATCTATATTCTTCTGTTAGAAAATTTTCCCTTTTTCTGCTTTCAAATATTTTGGTGGTGGTGTTTGGTTTGTCATTTTTATTTTATCCTGCTTGGTGTCCTCTGAGATTCTTAGAACATTGTTTTTAATTTTGAAAAATTCTTAGCTATCATTTCTTTAAATATTTCTTCCTCCTCATTCTTCTAGCTTCTCCTTCACGGATTCTATCACGTATTTGTTACTGTTTAACAATGGCCTAGAAAATTGTGGTTGTGTTTTTCTTTTGATAACTTTTTTATACTTTTGAAGTTTGACTTTCAATAATTTCTATAAACCTATCTTCAAATTCACATATTTATTTCCTTTCTACATCAAGTCTACTGATGAGTACAACTAAGGCATTTTTCCTGTTATTTCCCCCTAGTTGATTCTTTCTGTTTCCTCTTTTTTTTCTAGAATTCCACCTAATTTTTAATGTTGTCCATCTTCCATTAGAACCTTTAACTTAATAATCATGATTATTTTGATCCCATTTCACATAATTCAACATCTTTGTCATATCTGCATCTGTTTCTTTGTCATATCTGCATCTGTTTCTGATTCTTGCTCTATACTTCATGAGAGTCTGCCTTTTGCAGTTAGTTGTTTGATTTACTGCTTTTAAGCCTGGACACGGGCAGGGTAAAAAGGAGACAGTTATGTGATGCCCTGATTATGCTTCAAACATAGGAAGGCACCATTTCTCAGGATATTAGGGGTATAGTTTTGTCAGTACTCCTGCCCCTGCCCTAACTATAGTTCTTTGACCAACATATATTTCTACCCTTTTTTTGTAGTAGAGGGGATTTTTCAGTTTACTCCTCTAGCTGCAACGGGCTTTCTCCAGTATGCTAATGGCCTTCTTGTCAAAGATTCTGGCTTTTATTCTGTAAGAGAGATGGGGGGAAGAATTTCACTGGAATTTTGCCTTTCCTGCGATGGTAGTTCTTTTTCTTTGTGATTTTTGCATCCCAAGGAAAATTATCTCAAGACTCTCCCAAGATTGTCAGCGAGTACCCAGTGAGCTTTACTGAACAAAAGCTAACAACAGTACATAGGCTCCCCCTATATTTTTGGACCCCAGCAGCTTCACTCCCTTTCCACCAACTCACCAGTCTCCCAAACTCAAATGTTCTAAACCGTGTCCTGCTGCCTTTATTTTTCTAGTTAAAACAGTGCTCCTGTCTGCCACTGATCTCCCTGGTGGCTGTTAGTGTCTACTTAGCTTTGGTGCCAGTTGTTGTCTAGTGACCTTGTCACTAAAGCGTGTTGGAAAAAAAGTCACAGACTTGTTATTTGTCCAAATTTTGCTTTCATTGTAATTTTGAAAACAATGTAATTTCTATTTCTATAATTTCCTGAGTGGATTCCAGAAGCATAAAGTATTATTTTAACATGCCAAATTTGTCATCTTTTGTTCACAGCATTTATGTGTAGTAATGTCAGGATATGGAATAATATGGATCTGTCAAAATTGTGGAATAATACTGGAGCTTTCAAAGTAGTGATTTGGACGAAAGAACAAAGACCAAATATACATTTTTTCTGCTTCCAAGGGATCCAAACTTATGCTTTATATATGACCTGCTTTCAGTTCAGAAAGATTTGTGTCTTAAGATAGAAATCATAAACTGAGGATGTCTGTCTGTTTGCTTGTTGTCCCTGGAGGCTCTAGCAATTTTCACCTGTGGTTCACAAAGAAAACAAAAAACAAACCAAAAACCACGTGTTTTGTTGTTTTCTTTGCAATGACTAAACTTTTTATAGATATCTGTATTAAAAAACCAACCAACAATACAACAAATAAACCTCTCTTTTGTAACTCTCTAGTTAAGTTTTTAAGAAGTCCCTGCCCTGCTGATTCATTTTCAATGATTACATTCTCCATTCAAATTAATTTGGAATTAGCATTCCATAAATGATCCAAAATGGGCAATTTTTCTTTTTTCCCATGGGAACAGATGTTCTGATATATGTAAAAGAATAATCCAAAAAATTAAAATCCTGGCCAGATTGTGTCATGATATCTGAGGAAAGATAAGATTTACACACATGCGTGCACACACACACACACACAAATTGTCAGTTGCCATTCTCACAAACACAATATTTGGTAAAACTTAAAAATCTTATTAGCAGGATGAAACAAAGCAAGATAAAACAAACAACCAAGAAAACACATTTGGATTTGCTTATAGACTTAAAACCAAACTTGCACCAAGACTTTGCTAGATAAAATACAGGACAACCAGTTAAATTTGAATTTCAGATAAACAACAATTGATTTTTTTATTTACATAAGTATGTTCCAAAGATTATATGGGACATATCACAGTAATATATGTCTATTTATAGATTTTAAATTATATACCTATAATTTAAGGATGAAATAATACTTTGAATATTCTTGTACAAAATTTATCGTTATTTATCTGAAATTTCAACTTAATGAGGTAACCTATATATTTGTTAAATATAGAAACCTTAATTTAAAAAATAACTAAAAGTCTTGTATCAAATTACCTCAATGAAATGTTAAACCCCCAAAATGTATCAGCAAGGTTTCTGAAGTTTTGAGAAGACACAGCCTAGAAGTAATAGATTAAATATTACCCCAGAGTATTTAACAAAATAAGTTTTATACTCTAGTAAAGACTCTCTCACATCATAAAAAAACAAAAATTCTCTCTGAGCAGAAGTATATTTTTGTGAATATAACTTCTACATTAATTACCAGGTTTTGACTTAGGTAATTGGTAATACATAGCAATAGACTATCCTTTTCACAGTAAAAATAGACTACAAAGTACCGAGAAATAGATAAGTTATTTGCATTTTAGTTTTTATTTTAATAAAGAATGTTAACCTAGCAGGAATATGGAGTACAACCTCAAATTTAAATATAAACAACAATAAACAAGTGAGTTTTGCAAATAAAGAATTTCCACTACCTTATATACACACAAACACAAAGCTAGAAGTATTATAAATTTTTGTAAGAACTGTCTGTTTGGAAAGCTGAACTCCAAATTATGTATACATTGATTCATATATAAATAATACAGAGTTTAAAATGTGATAAATTTGAAGATGTTAATTGAATGTTGTTTGATTTGTAGCCAAAAATAATGACACTACATTTCTGTATATAAAAGAAAAATACATATGAATTAAATTATGTTCAAAAAATGTTTTTCTAATAGATTTTAAGTTAAATTTTAAAAATAACATTTGATTTGACAGAAAGAAGCTACAGGTCAAAGAAATAATAAGAGATTTAGGCCTGAGTCTAGGTTCTTAGAAAAACAAAGTGGCAGCTCTCTGATTCTGAAATAATGAGGGGTTGAGTTTAGAACCTCTGTCCCCATTAATAAAAACAAGTTCTTAACCACTTTTTTCCTAAACATTAATTCTAATTTGGAGTTATCTTCTTTTGAGTGCAGGTGGGACACAGAGTCTCACTGTTGCCCAGGCTGGACTGCAGTGTCATGATATCAGCTCACTGCTACCTCTGCCTAGCAGGTTCAAGTAAAACTCCTGCCTCAGCCTCCTGAGTAGCTGGGATTACAGGCGTGCACCATCATACCCAGCTAATTTTTGTATTTTTATTTGAGTTGGGGTTTCACCACGTTGGCCAGACTGGTTATGAACTCCTGGCATCAAATGATCCACCCACATCAGCCTCCGAATGTGCTGGGATTACAGGTGTGAGCCACCACGCCCGGCCTGGAGTTATCTTAATCAATGTCCTTCATATTTAAATAATGTTTTAACTAAATAATTCTATGATAATAGACATTTTATCATTTTACCTTATGCCAATATTCTGTTTGTTTTTGATCTGTAGTTATGAGTTTATTGCAAAATGTGAAATATTGAATTCCATATACAAATTTTATTTTCTTCACTAATACTAAATTTCTAAAGCTACATGTAAATGTGATGAAAAAACACAGAATTGCAATTTCAATACGTTATAACTGCAAACACGGGCATCATGTGGAAAATGGTTTTACAGGGCATAATCCAAAAATCACATGACTCTACAAGAGTTTCCACCTTTTTTTTCTGGTTTGGTTTAGTATTTCTCTGTTACTATATTTCAAAATTAGTTGAACCTAATTTATGTTATGGTTGTATTTTACAACAGTTTTTATTTGCTTGAATCATTTTTAAACCCATGAATTAATAAGGTTATAGATGTCTATACTTAGTAAATGATGTCTGAGAAACTCAATTTTTACAGCAGACTTGCCCATAATTTATGTGGAAATACCAATCATAAGGATGAAAAACTGAATTTTGACCCATGAGAGAAAAAAATTAGTTCAGGCAAAATTTAAAGAGCCTTCATTAATATGCTCTTTTTTAATAATATGGAATTCTAAGATACTGGATACCAGCTTGATTCCCTGCAGAAAGGTAAAGCTATAACTGGTATTAGGTCAAGAATGTTATTGAAATTAATTAGATTTGTATATTATAATCTTTGTTATAATAACAGATGGGATAATTTTTTAAACTGAAAAAGGATTGTTGTATATAATAAAGAATTTTAGCTCACAAAAGAACAATACATATTTTAAGGCTGTAATATTAAGATATGATCTGTTAGAGATAAAATTAATAAATAGCAAAAATATTTATATTACTAAAAAATAATAGGAAGCAGAATATATTAAATCATTCATAAATCTCTCTCTCACACTCTTTCTCTTACACATACATATATATGTACAAAGAAAGAGACAGAGATCTCCTTGAAGACTGTTAGATGTGGGGAAAATGAGAGTTATCCAAGTCTTACAGTGGACAGGTAGAGTGAACCTTCTTCTCTAACCCAGGGGCTATCTCCACTAAGAAAAAATGAGGGACTGAGAGACTCTAGTTTCTAGGAACAGAGCTGTGGAAGGTCAATGCCTCAGAAGAGAAATAACTGGAATCAAGTGAAAGTAAACCAAACTATCCATCAGGCACTTATCTAGCCTCTAATATAGAATAAAATAATTTGAATAAACATCCAATGTGTTAAACACTATTTAAAAACAAGGAAGTACGTAGAAAGGGATAAATTCTATTCTGTAGTTATATTTTGGTATAAATGCCTTGTTTTGAAACTAATGTTGGCATTTTAATTGAAGAAGAAATATAATTATACAGTTTGTTAGCAACCACTACTTTCAGAATAAAAAATGGAAAGAGAAACAATTATATTATCTAACATTTAAATAGAAAAAAAATTTTGTTGATACTAAATAGAAATGATCAATATGACTTTACAAGAGTCAAAATAATAACACGTTTCCTCTAGTTTTTTTTTTCCACTGAAGTGTCTCAAATACTGTTATTCCACAGTATTCCCCAGAGCCTAGATGCCATTTTTTTCTCAAATATTTTACCAAGAATCTCCAGAGTTCTTCAGATAATATTTATTCTCCTTATTTCATATTTGAGGCAGAAGAACATGAAGGAGAGCTTGGTACAACCTCTTGCTCCAGAAACCAAGAAACTTTCAAAGACTATTCAAGTCATGGCAAAAGGACATAAGAACAAATCTAAAGCAAACTTCCACTGACTAAAATTGAGATAATTTGAACATAAAATATACAGCAATGTCTATAGCTAATTAACATGTAAGCCATCTGAAAATCCATGAGCCCATAATTAACACATGTATTTTTAACAGGATAAATCATCCTACATAAAGTAATGAAAAATTCCATGGGGTCTTAAGGTCTTTAAGGTATATTTTTAATATTTATCAAATGTATAGTTTTTCCACATAAAAAAGAAGGAAAATATTATATACCTTGAGTTCCTCAGCTGAATGAGAATTGGAGACTTCCTAATGATAAACTGAACCATCTAAGAACCACAGTGTTAGCCCAGGTAAGCAAAACCAAGATCTCCGTGCTAATCGCAATTTTTAACTTTTAGAATAAATGAAAGGAAAAGTGTGTGTGTGTGTGTGTTAAGGATTAATTTTCTCATTATTTATATTCACTCTGAAGGCAAACACCACACACCCACATGCACATACACACACACGAGACACACATATATATCTCCCATGTATTCATAACACATTATAAACATTTCTTCTCAAGGGTTTCTGTTCTTCGCTCTCAACATCATAGACCCTTGTGGAGAGTTAGAAAAGGCAAACTTTTCTACATGTAGCAAATTCCTATAAGCAAGAATAAAACTATCATGAGCTCCAAAGACACTGTTATTCTCGTGTTTTTTTCAATATGGCATTTGAACTGTATCACTCACTTCCCAATGCAGTCCTATATGGTACTTCTCTGAATTGGTGGTTTACATTATCAGAGAGCACATAAATGTGACTCTGCTGGTTAAAGAAAAATAGACACCAAGTATTTGGTGAGTTTAGTGCAGATATTTAAGGCCACAAAAGGTCAGATAAGAAGTGTAGATCTTGGAGTTACTGGATTATGAAAAATATGTTCAAAGCAGAGTTGGAACATGAGGAAGAGCTTGATGGGTGGATAGAATTGGGCTGAGCTGAAAGGACTGGAGGCACTTGACATTGTAGGAAGAGAGTAAATAAGGAGTCCAAGCTTGTGGTGCAAGCTTCTCAATCTGCGGGATGGTAAAGAGACCAACCTGGCCAAAAGGAAGAATATATGGTGTGAGGAAATAAAGTCCACCTAAGTGGGAACACACAGAAGCCAGTTATTCAGGCTAGTTATAACACTTGTGTTTGGCAGAATTTAAATGCTATCAAGGAAAATGGACGTGTTATAATTTAAAAAGGGTAGGTTTCAGTTAACATCTGATGGGAGATTGTCAGCATATGGAAACTGGAGGTGGACTAGAGATAAACAGAACACCTTATGTTTATTTGGGGAGCATACTGGTTTTTTTTCTGGTTAGTCCTTAGTTGCACTGTGGGATAAAAACTGGGAAGGTGATGGTTCTTGACTGCTGCAGAGGCTATGATTTGACTTGCTGAGTTTCTTATGTGAGTCAGAGTTCTAGTGCCATGAATCACCTGGCCAGTGTTTACATGTGTATTCAGTCTCTCTGTTGTGAATTATTGAAAAATTAGTTTGAATAGAAATAAGGTATCTTGAGAGTCAAGGGATCTAACTCTGATAAAGAAAATATGTTACATATACACCACGGAATACTATGCAGCCATAAAAAAGAATGAGATCTTATCCTCTGCAGGGACATGGATGGATCTGGAGGCCATTATCCTAAGCAAACTAATACAGGAACAAAAAACCAAATACCAAATGTTCTCACTGACAAGTAGGAGCTAAAGGATGAGAACACATGGACACACAGAGGGGAACAACACACACTGGGGCTTATTGGAGGGTGGAGGTTGGGAGGAGGGAGAGGATCAAGAAAAATTAACCAGTGAGTTCTAGGCTTAATACCTGGGTCATGAAATAATCTGTACTACAAACCCTCATGATATAAGTTTACCTATGTAATAAACCTGCACTTGTACCCCTGAACTTAAAATAAAAGTTAAAAATAAATAAATAAAATAGTTGTTTTATTTGATCCCTTAAAACAAAATGAATTGTTAACTCTCATGCTTCCCTGCTGGCCATACTGTTATTATGTAAACAAAGGTATTTTGCTTTTTAGAACAGCAAAATAATCAGATGGTTCTTTGGATTGTGAGAACAGGGCGGGAAAAGAGTAACATAACTTTATAATAAAAATAATTCAAGCAGAATTCTCCCATAACATTTGTTTAGCCTAAAGGCATAGGGGTCTTCTATCTATTCCCCATCATTCTAACTATACTGTCTAATATGTAGTCAACTTGAATAGTTGCTATCTGATCACAGTTTTTTACTCTTTGACTAGCAATTTTGTTGTCATTTGAACACTGTCAGATTATCTATTTTTCCAATTCTTACTAAAGGTTTGAGTCATCACAAAGTACAGTTGATCAGTGTTACATTGGAATTTGTTTTACCTTTGGATGATTAAAAGCAGTCCCTGTTCTCCTTTTGTTTTCTCGAGAAAACAGACTTTTGAGAATTTCTACTTCTATGTCTCAAGACATATAAGGAAAATAAAAAGCGTTAGTGGAATGTTTCATGAGGAATGAAATTTCAACTACTGGGAGAAGCCAATGTCTAGATTCTCTGAAAATTTTATTTTTCAAAGAATAATATTTCTCACCAATACAGATAATCATTCCTTTCCTACATCAAAAAGAAACTTTTCAAAAAGGCTGATACAAGATAGGTAGTATATAATATCCATGTATGTATTTTTCCTGCCATATTAGACATGATCTTAAAATTTTTCATTATCCTAACTTGTTCCTTGAAAGAGATAAAATCCTAAGAAAAATGCTTTTAAAGAACTCAGAGGATTTTTTTTAAATTTTCATTTATGTTTTTTCTTAGAGACACGGTCCTCTCTTTGTTGCCTAGGCTGGAGGACAGTGGTGTGATCACAGCTCACTATAACCCTGAACTGCTGGAATCAAGTGATCCTACTGCCTCAGCCTCCCAGAAGATGGTCAGGTGTGTGTCACCACATTTAGCTAATCTTTCTATTTTCTTCTGTAGAGACAAGCCCTCCCTATGTTGCTCAGGCTGATATCAAACTCCTGGCCTCAAGTGATCCTCCCCCAACTCAGCCTCCCAAAGTTCTAGGATTACAGTTGTGAGCCCCTGTGCTAGGTAGGCCAGGTTACAGTTTTCAAATCTAGATATGGCTGAGTTACTTTTCTTGATAGCTTTATGTTTGGCATAAAGAGAATATTTATCTTATGTTTATGTCTTAATTAGAAATATCTGCATCTCATTTATTACTGAGGAGGACTAGACATGAGGTTGGCTGCAAGTAGAGTCTGGAAAACT
Source organism: Homo sapiens (assembly GCF_000001405.40). Taxonomy (NCBI): domain Eukaryota; kingdom Metazoa; phylum Chordata; class Mammalia; order Primates; family Hominidae; genus Homo; species Homo sapiens. Next base: position 116,169,111 of record NC_000002.12, on the reverse strand, counting down.
GAAGCAACTTCAGAAAGTCAAAAACAGGAAAGAAAACCACGATATGTAGAACTCATTTTTAAAAGTAAGGTGCATTTAGTTGTGGTTCCGTTCAACAGGAGGTAATGGTGGTGGGAGAGAACATATTAATCTTTTAGACAAAACACAGCAGTTTATGACATCCTGGAATTGAACATATTCTAAATTAAACAGGACAAACATCAAGCTTCCAGATAATCTGGTCAAGTAAATCAAAGTGTTAGCTCTTGTTAACGTGGATAAACGTAGAGCTCAAGAAAGAAAGGAAGATATAACCTACAGAATTTTTTGTTTTGCTTTGCTTTTAGTTTAGTTTTAGAAACAAACAAACAAAAAATGATTTAAAAAAGCTTTTGCTAAATACTAACTGGGAATCAAATTGAAACCACTCAGGACCCTTCCACCCCTGCACAGCAAGCTAGGATTAGGGATGGATCTTCAAGCCTAGTAGTAAACTTGAGTACTAGATGGAGAATCCAAATCTAAAATCCAGTTCTTCAAATGTGGTTTCCATTGTACAAATAGTACATACTGGGTTTAGAGTGTCTCCAGTGCATACCAAGAGGACGACTGGGGAGGTATCTGCTCTGGGTACAGACAACAAAAAGGTATATAATTTCATAAATTATTTTATTAAATAAAAAGAATAACAAAACTGAAATTCAATCTGATTTTATGATCACCATACATTAGCAATATCAGTTAATACTTCTCCTTGGGTGGGCTGACAGCTCCTATTGCCAACTCCCCCTACTCACCACCTTTGTACACTGCATGGTCCCTGGGTACCTAGAAGGCATACCATAGAAGACAGTAGATCCTGGACCTATAGGCAGAAACATTTAAAATCCCAAACGTTTTGGAAAATCAGGACTAAAACTCTTTATATTTTCTAATTTGTCATGCTTTGCTTCAGGTATAGGAAGAATACAGCTTTCAGTGCCACTAGCTATAAGAAGTTAAAGACAGAGTGACCATGACATTCCTTTAAAGGTTAAAGGGAAACCAGGAAAACCTAACTCCCAGTGACTTTTTTTAAGTGAGTGAGAAATAAACATTTCTTACATCAAGCCACTGAGATTTGAAAACTGTTACAGAAGCTAATAATTTCAACCTTGATCAATACATTCCTGCATGTGGTGTACGGAAGTCCCTTTGCCAAAAACAGATACTCTTTTCCTCTACCTTGTGTGTCAGTGTATGTATGTGCATGTACATGAGAATTAATGAGGTATACATAGGGAAAACGTGAGACACATTACCAAACTCTAGCAACAATAACCTAAATGTGCCCAGAAGTTCCTTCTCTCTCCATTTATTCTTTGCAGGGTACAGGGAAGGGGAGGATGGACTCAATTTCTAAGACACCACATAGCATAACTGCTGAGAGCATACATTTTGAAAACAGTCTACCTATAGTTGAATCCTGGCTGAGACAGCATGCAAGCTCAGTATTGTCTAAACTCAAGACTCACCCTCTTTCTACAATGCTTCTCCTTTCATATATAAAATTATTGTCAGTAGACTTGACTTGCAGGAATACTTGAAGGTAAAGTAAATACTCATTTCTTCAGCAGAGGGACAATGTGAGAAACCAATTATAAATAGCAATGTCTCCTGAAAAAACTAGACTTTTTAATGTTGCTCAGGCTCAGTGGGTATTACAAATAAAATCAGCTGAAATATGATGCTACTTAGCTGTAGGACTGCTATAAACACTTTAGGCTTCACAATTTACTGTTAAAATTCATCACATTTTCATCTCAAAGCTGTTGCAAATGCATAGCTGAATGAATCAGTCAGTTGTTGATTCTCACTGTGGAATTCAATAGTACATTTGCAATTATATCAATGCAAATTTTTCTGAAACATAATGTTTTTCCTTTGGAAAGTACAGACTATTTTGGTGGTTTCTAAATATTTACATGAACATGTACATCTATATATGCACTGATATGTCCACTGAAAATTTCAATCAAACTTTGTCTTATATCTTTAAAAATTGTCATTTTGTATTAATGAAAATTTAGCATCTTTTTTTCCGTTCGGTTGTAAATTATCTGACAGCAAGCATCTGAAGTATGGAAAGATCAATATATTTCATATTTTTCTGGTATATTTTATATTTTTCTATGATATCCAAAGATTATCAATACCAATGAATAAAGAGGAAAGAGCTAACAGATCTTTAAGCTATATATTTTGGGCCAAGAAATCTAATAATGTTAACTTCTATAATTCCTTTGTATCATAATTTCAATAACACATTGGGATTGTTCATAGTATTATAACACCACATCAACCAGTGGCATTTGAATGCTTGATAGGATATTTATTATAAAAAACAGATTAAAATATTTTTACTAAGACATAACTCCTTTACCCCTTCATAAAGAATGTGGCCGGGCGCGGTGGCTCACGCCTGTAATCCCAGCACTTTGGGAGGCCAAGACACGCAGATCACCTGAGGTTGGGAGTTTGAGACCAGACTGACCAACATGGCGAAACCACGTCTCTACATAAAGTACAAAATTAGCCGGGCATCGTGGCACATGCCTGTAATCCCAGCTACTCGGGAGGCTGAGGCAGGAGAATTGCTTGAACCTAGGAGACAGAGGTTGCAGTGAGCCGAGATTGCACCTTTGCATTCCAGCCTGGGCAACAAAAGCAAAACTCCGTCTCAAAAAAAAAAAAATAGTGTCTGTTAATTTTCAACCAAAGTGTTAATGGAGAGGCATGTTTTGCTAGACTGTTTGCCTATTACTTACTACCACAGAAGTAGTATTTATTTCTATCCACTCACTGACTTTATGACCTCAAAATCTTTAAATAGTTATTACTTAAAAGGAGTAACCAATAAACAAGGATGAATTGCTGCTTTGTGTTATTCAAAACTCAGTGCTGAACCAACTCTTCAGGCAGGTGGATGAAAAGTGGTGAAGGAAACCAAAATATTTTTTTGCAAAATAGATTTCCTTCACACAGTTTAAGATGGCTACTTAGAATAGCTTGTTATGTAAGAAGAGCTAAAAAGCCAGGGGTTTTTTTTTGGTGGGGGGGATGTTTGCATCTGTAGAGAATCTACATTGATGCAGCCAGACTTTCTCGAGGCATTTCCTTGTCCAACCTAGGAAAGATTAACTGAGAGTTTGACACCTCTTCTATTATTTCTGTTTACATGCTGTTGAGCAAGACAGATATACCTGAGACTGGGAGGAAAAAGAGGATTAGTTGGACTTATACATGGTTGTGGAGGCCTCAGAATCATGGCGGGAGGTGAAAGGCACTTCCTACATGGTGGCAGCAAGAGAAAATGGGGAAGAAGCAAAAGCAGAAACCCCTGATAAACCCATCAGATCTTGTGAGACATATTCACTATGATGAGACTAGCACAGGAAGGACCGGCCCCCATGATTCAATTACCTCCCCCTGGGTCCCTCCCACAACATGAAGGAAATCTGGGAGATATGAATCAAGTTGAGATTTGGGTGGGGACACAGCCAAACTATATAATTCTGCCTCTGGCCCCTCCAAATCTCATGTCCTCACCTTTCAAAACCAATCATGCCTTCCCAAGAATACTCCAAAGTCTTAACTCATTTCAGCATTAATCCAAAAGTCCACAGTCCAAAGTTTCATCTAAGACAAGGCAAGTCCCCTCCACCTCTAAGCCTGTCAAATCAAAAGCAAGCTAGTTACTTCCTAGATACATGGAGGTACAGGTATTGGGTAAATATAGCCATTCCAAAGGGAAGAGATTAGCCAAAACAAAGGGGTTGCAGGGCCCATGCAAGTCTGAAATCCAGCAGTGCAGTCACATTTTGAAGCTCCAAAATGTTGGGAGGCTGAGGCAGGCAGATCTCAAGGTCAGGAGATCGAGAACATCTTGGCCAACGTGGTGAAACACAGTCTCTATTAAAAATACAAAAATTAGCCAGGCATAGTGGCATGCACCTGTATTCCCAGCTACTCTGGAGGCTGAGGCAGGAGAATCTCTTGAACCCAGGAGGCGGAGGTTGCAATGAGCCGAGATCATGCCACTGCACTCCAGCCTGGGCAACAAGAGCGAAACTCCATCTCAAAAAAAAAGCTCCAAAATTATCTCTTTTGACTCCAAGTCTCACACGCAGGTCACACTGATGAAAGAGGTGGGTTCCCATGGTCTTGGACAGCTCTGCTCCTGTGGCTTTGCAGGGTACAGCCTCCCAACAGCTTTCATGGGCTGGTGTTGAGTGTCTGCAGCTTTTCCAGGCACACGGTGGAAGCTGTTGGTGCATCTACCATTCTGGTGTCTGGAGGATAGCAGGCCTCTTCTCATAGCTCCACTAAGCAGTGCCCCAGTAGGGGCTCTGTGTGGGGGCTCTGACCCCACATTTCCCTTCCGCACTGCCCTAGAAGAGGTTCTCCATGAGCGCCTCCCCGCTGCCACAATCTTTTGCCTGGGCATCCAGGTATTTCCATACATCTTCTGAAATCTAGACAGAGGTTCCCAACCCTCAGTTCTTGAATTCTGTGTACCCACAGGCTCAACACCACATGGAAGCTGCCAATGCCTGGGGCTTCCACCCTCTGAAGCCACAGCCCAAGCTCTACATTGGCCCCTTTTGGCCATGGCTGGAGTGGCTGGGACACAAGGGATGAAGTCCCTAGGCTACACACAGCACAGGCACCCTGGACCTGGCCCACGAGACCAGTTTTTCCCCAGGGCCTCTGGACCTGCGATGGAAGGGGCCGCTGTGAATGTCTCTGACATGGCCTGGAGACATTTTCCTCATGGTTTTGGGGATTAACATTAGGCTCCTTGCTACTTATGCAAATTTCTGCAGCTGGCATGAATTTTTCCCCAGAAATTGAGTTTTTCTTTTCTATTACATAGTCAGGCTGCAAATTTTCCAAACTTTTATGCTCTGTTTCCTTTATAAAACTGAGTGCCTTTAATGGAACCCAAGTCACCTCTTGAATGCTTTGCTGCTTAGAAATCTCTTCCTCCAGATACCCTAAATCATCGCTCTCAAGTTCAAAGTTCCACAACTCTCTAGGGCGGGGGCAAAATGCCCCCAGTCTCTTTGCTAAAACATAACAAAAATCACCTTTGCTCCAGTTCCCAACAAGTTCCTCATCTCCATCTGAGACCACCTTAGCCTGGATTTTATTGTCCATATTGCTATCAGCCTTTTGGGCAAAGCCATTAAAAAAGTCTCTAGGAAGGTCCAAACCAGCCCACATTTTTCTGTCTTCTTCCGAGCCCTCCAAACTGTTCTAACCTCTGCCTGTTACCCAGTTCCAAAGTTGCTTCCATATTTTCAGATATCTTTTCAGCAACACCCCACTTCTGGTACCAGTTTACTGTATTATTCTGTTTACATGCTGTTGATACACACGTACCCAAGACTGAGAAAAAAAAGAGGTTTAATTGGACTTACAGTTCCACATGGTTGGGGAGGCCTTAGAATCATAGCAGGAGGTGAAAGGCACTTCTCACATGGTGGTGGCAAGAGAAAATGAGGAAGGAGCAAAAGCAGAAACCCCTGATAAACCCTTCAGATCTCATGAGACTTATTCACTATCACAAGAATAGCAAGGGAAAGACTGGGCCCCATGATTCAATTACCTCCCATTATGTCCCTCCCACAACACAGGGGTATTCTGGGAGATACAATTTGAGATTTGGGTGGGGACACAGCTAAACTATATTATCTCTAAAGATCTGAAAGAAACATTCACCATCTACTTTCTCTGAGGGCTGCTACCTGTGAGGTTTCATCTATGTAACAAGACCACCTTTGCTAGCCAGGCCTCCTCTACCCCTAGCCCATAACCTGCTTTGCTACTATCATCTGTTTTGACATGATCCAAGCCCGCATTCTCTCCGTAACCTCGAGATGATATGTAAGCTTCTGTATCTTACTGGGGTCTGGGGTAATTGCTCTGGTTTTTTGGGGTAATTGCTCTGGGGTAATTACTGGTTCTGAGACAGGAATAATACAAGGAGGTCACATTAGAATAGAAAATTTCAGACAGCAGTTTTACACAACTAGCAAAAAAGAAAGTGTTGAAATAGCTGCATAAGCTAGCAGCTGTTAAGACCCGGAAAACCAGGGTTTGGGCAGAACTGGCTAAGACCCACTGGATCCAAAATAAGTTTGGATTTGACTTATGTTTCCCCTAGGACATCATTATTTGCTCATTAACATGCTAAATTGCACACCCACCAGTGCCATGACACTTCTGGGACCATCCATATTTGGTGAAGAAATTAGTAGCACCACAGTTCCACAGATACCTTTTTCTAGGAATCTTCACAAATATTTTACTCTTTGGCTAAAGAAATCCACAAACCAAATACTAATGCAGGAACAGAAAACCAAATATTTACTAACATGCTACCTGGTTACATAATTTCAATAACCCCACTGTTCAAACCCCTGGAATTCTATCACAGGATACCTATCAAGTGTGACATGGTAGGCAGAAGATAGGTAGAAGCCCCCAAACCCCTTTGTGCATGACTCCTTCAATAGAGAAAGCCCGCACTTTCCGTTTTTAAGTGTGTACTTTTGCTTTGCAATAAATGTCCATACTTTCAAGATATTCCCACTAATCCTTGAATTGCTTCCTGCTACAGTGTCAAGAGCCTTGACACCAGCCAGCTGTAATTGAGGTCTCATCACATTTTGGGATCTCCCTAGCCCACTGGTATCTCTCTATCATCATCCAGCCAGGAGCATCATCACCCCCATTTTAGAACGACTGGCAGTTGGTAAGTCTCACTCCAATCTGAGTCAGAGTATTCTCACTCTCTAGAGTTACTCCTACTTTCTTCCTTGTTCCTAGAAACAAACTACAGCATGACTCCCCTCAGCCATAGCACCTCTGCTCCTTCCAGCTGGAAAACCCAGTTTATACTTACAGACAACAAGCAAAAGTGGGAAGGTTTCTGAAATGCCAGGGTCCTCCCTGAGGGAAGGCTAATGAGGATGGTAGGGTAAAGTCCCATACCGTGCAGTGGCTAGACAGCTTTCAAGGAGCACTATCACTTTTTCCTGGGAAACATCTTTCATTTTCCTAAGGGACCAACTGTGCCAAGACACTGATCCTGGTTGGGAACTGTTTTATCTTTCCTATCTCTCTTTAAACCCTGCTTTTGTGATTTTCTCTTCTCATGCTTCTTTCTCATATTTCACACAAAAGCTTAGTAAACTCTTTGAACCCAGCAAGACAGGCCACTTAGATATTGTCCTCTGGAATGCCAAACTTAGTCTATGGTTCTAAAGGAGTCTCTTCAAGGTCCTTGTTTATTGGCCATGCTGAATCATCTCTAATCTCAAGTTTTACTTGATGATAAACATTCAGACACATATCAGCATGCTTGCCCCTTTCAAAATAGGCTCACGATTCATCCCACTCAACCCTGAAGGCCTTCCTATTTTCAAAGCCCCAGAGGCCATGGATACCTGGGCAACACTGGGGATCCAGGAAATGCCTGGATGCCAAGGCAATCAGCCAAAGAAACAGGGACACATGTCTCTCTGGTCTGGCCATGGAGTGGGCCAATTGTAAGGGCCATGCTCATGCACCTGGACACAAAAATGCCAGGACCAGTGCCTCCATGAGGGAAGCATCCTGTTATTTCCCCCTTATTTTTCAGGTTGACCCAAAGACAAGTCAAGGTCATGGGCAACTCTCTGGGGTTTAATGGCCAATGAACAGGGCCCTAAAATTTAATACAGTCTTACAATTAGAACTTTTTTGTATACATCAGAAAAAAATGGAGTGAAATACCATGTATACAGGCCTTCATGGCATTTTTTCAGAATCCTGACCTTCCTGGGAATTGCTGCCTTTGTTATGCTCATACCCCTTTAGGGAAACCAAGAAACAGTTATCCTAGAGGATCCCCTCTTGGGAAATGTACCTCCCCAGAGCCTTCTCCCACCTCTTAACCCAGACTCAATTCCAGCACCCTCAGCTCCTCTCTCTTACTCACCTTCACTTCAAGTCCCCATTCTTTTGCTAGTTCCACCATCTCCAGTGCCCAGAGTCCTGCTAGTCCACTTCCGTGCCAACCTATATACCCTTGCCTACCAAGGGAACAGAGCCCTTCTGGGGTCGTCTGCAGCAGCATTTTCTACCTTCTTGGTCATTTTAAGTTATGCCTATTTAGGGAGGTGGCCAGTGGGGATGCTAGGACCATTTTAGCACATATGCCTTTTTCAGAGTCTGACTCAGCACAATGTAGACAGAGGTTGGGCCAATTTTCAGATGACCTGACTAAACGGAGAAATTTCAGGCACTCTTACTCTCATTTGAGTTAACTTGGGGAGATACGCACATTATCTTGTACAAGTATTGCAACTGTGAAGCAAAGCAGGGTATTTTGGTGTAGGCACAGGCTTATGCTGACATTTGTCAGCCGGGGACCCTGAACAATAGGCTGTGTGGGGCCACATCTGTGCCTAACAATGACCCTAATTGGAACTATCAACAGGGCCAAGCTGATCTAAGAACAAGAAATCACACGGACTCGTTTAGTGTGGGGATGAAAAAAATGCTCCGCTAAGCATGTGAACTTTGATAAAATAAGGTAAATAACTCAAGGAAAGGATGAAAACCCAGCTTTATTCCATGAGTGCCTTGTGGAGGTCCTAAGAGATTATACTAATATTGACCCCGGTATTGATGTTGGCCAAATTTTACTAAGCACACACTTTATTAGCCAGTCAGTGCCTGAAAATCAGAAGAAAATTACAGAAATTGGCTTTGTGATTCCAAACGCATATTTATAAAATGCTTGATGTAGTTTTCAGAGTATTCAATAATAGAGATGGGGCTGAAAAGGCTGCAAGAACCTCACATGCCAAACAGTGGGATAAACAGCCGGCCCAAATGACAACAGTCACTATAAGCAGTGGCCTGCGATCTCAGGGTCACCGAGGGGGACGTCTCACCCACAGACCAAACAGGCGTTAACAGCAAACCTGCAGGTAATAATTGCCGCTTCAAATGTGGAAGGCCAGGACATGGGAGCAAGAACTCTCCCCACCAGGGGAGCTCACCCACTGTCCTCACTGCAAGCAAGGGGACCATTAGAAAAGGTATTGCCCTCAGTCCCAAAGGGGGAAGAGGACACTGCAAGCCACAATGGCCATAACTGAGGACTGATGAAGTCTAAGCTTCCTGGTGGCTCCCACTAAAGACGTAGTCGTCACAACTGAGGAGCCCTGGGTGACTCCTGACGTGACAGGTAAGAATATTAATTTCTTAAATCTATACAAGAGCTAGTTACTGTGTCCTAAAGGACACTCTGGGCCCTTATTCTCCGAAAGCTGTACTGTCATTGGTATTAATGGCACCCCAAAACCAAAAACTTCATTTTGCCTCTGTGCTGAAGGCTAGAAAACTATGTGGTAACTCATGAGCTTCTAGTTTTACTGAGCGTCCCACTCCCTTTTAGAACAGGACCTCCTAGCCACCCTTCGATATTTCTCAGGTCCTGGGGAAACCTCTTTATTGGCAATCCTTGTTTTATTCTAACCCAGCCTCGGAAAAGCAAGAGAGCCTCCCAAAACAAGGTGTCAAGCAGACCCACAAGTGTGGGATCAAGAAATCCCTGGCAAAGCAATACATGCTAAGCCAGTGATCATCTCTTTAAAAGACAAAAATAATTTCCCACACAAGCATCAATATTCCCTCAAACCAGAAGCCAGGGGAGGACTCCAACCTCTAATTGAAAAGTTTTTAAAACATGGATTTCTGATTCTGTGTCAGTCTCTTGGTAATACTCCTGTCCCCCCTATCCAAAAATCAAATGGAGAATATAAAGTATTAAGTTGGTACAAAAGTAATTGTAGTTTCTGCTATAAAAGTAATGGTAAAAACTGACATTACTTTTGCACTAGCCTAATAGTTTAAGACTTATGAGCTATTAATGAGGCTGTAATGACTTTACATCCTATAGTGCCAAATCCTTATGCAATACTTAACCCAAATACTGTGAGACACCAATTGGTTTAAGGTGTTAGATGTTAATGATGCTTTTCTTGTGTCCTTTTGTACCCTGAGTCTTAGTATTTGTTTGCTTTTAGTGGGCTGATCGTGGAACTAATATTACCCAGCAGTACACCTGGACAGTACTGACTCTGGGCTTTAGGGATAGCCCTCGATTGTACAGAAAAACTTTGTCATGAGAATTAAGGGAGCTAGAGCTAGAAAGGGGAGTCATAGTCCAATATATGGATGACATCCTTCTATGCAGTTCCTCTAAAGGGGACTCAGATAAGAATTCCATTCAACTCCTAAACTTTCTGAGAGAAAGAGTGTATCAAGTCTCTCCATCCAAGGACCAGATTTCTAAACCAGAAGTAAGATATCTAGGCTGGGCCTGGTGGCTCATGCCTGTAATCCCAGCACTTTGGGAGGCCGAGGCAGCCAGATCATGAGATCAGGAGATCGAGGCCATTCTGGACAACATGGTGAAACCCCATCTCTACTAAAAATACAAAAATTAGCTGGGTGTGGTGGCACATGCCTGTAATCCCAGCTACTCGGGAGACTGAGGCAGGAGAATCACTGTGGAGACGACAGACCAAGACTCAGTCTCAAAAAAAAAAAAGGAGTACATGCTAAGCCCAGGAAACCAGCCTTTCTCCATTGAATGAAAGGTGGCTACCTCCACAAAGCAACTCAGAACTTTCCTGGATTTTGCAGGATTTGGGTCTCAGTATTTGGCTGAGCCATTGTATGATGCCCTAACAGAACCAGAGAATGAAATGCTTGAATGGTCAGGGAAACAACATGAGTCTTTATTGTCTAGCTGAACATGGAGGGGTTTGCACAGTAATAAACAACAGCTGTTCTTATATTAACAATTCAGGATTAGTTGAACTGCAAGTTCACAGGATTTATCAGCAGGCTACCTGGCTACATAATTTCAATAACACCACTGTTCAAACCATCTGGGATTCTATCAAAGGATACTTCCCATGTCATACTTAGTAGATACCCTTTGAAAGAATCCCAGATGGTTTGATCTACCTTTCCTGGGACATTTAATGGCTACCTTATTACTCCTAATCTTTAGTCCTTGCTTGTTTAACCTCCACGTAAAGTTTTTATCTTTGAGGTTTCAATGGTTCCATGTCAAAATGATGGCAATGCAAGGATTCCAACCAATCCTTGCCTTGGGTTCAGATTCTTCCAATGACCCACCCTTTTGACCCTTAGAACAGGCAGCCAGAGATTTCTATGCTCTTGCTAGGCAGGGCCATCACTCCTAATCAGCAGAAAATAGATACAGAAGACTGACCTCCTCCCTCATCAACCAACCCTTAAGAATAAGAAATGGAAACCTTTGGGGGGTGGTAAGGGACGAGACAGGAATACTACAGGAATAATTACCCTGTGACAGGGTGGTCACAGGAGAATAGAAAATTCAAGACAGCAAATTTTCATGACTAGCAAAAAGGAAATTATTGAAGTAACTGCATAAGCTAGGGGTCACTAAGGTCCTGAAAACCAGGGTCTGGGCCAAGCTGGCTAAGACCAACTGGACCAACATGATGAGAGATCCTAGATTTGATCCAGGTTTCGCCTAGGACCTCATTATATGCTCCTTAAAATATTATACACCCTTCAGCACCATGACAGTTCAAGAATACCCATATTTGGTGTAAAAGCGAGACACACCACAGTTCTGAGAAATCTCCATCTTTTTCCAGGAATCTTCATGAATATTCCACCCCTTAGTTAAATAAACCCATAAAGGTAGAAGCCCCAGAGCCCTTGAGGCTCCTTCTCTTGAGTATGCCTGCTCTCCCCTTTTTTGAGTGTGTACTTTCGCTTTGGAATAAATCTCAATAGTTTCACTATTTTCCAACTCATCCTTAAATTTCTTCTTGTGACAGTGTCAACATACTGGACACTGGCTGGGGTCGAGGTCCCACTGGCATTCCGGGACCTCCCCTAGCCTACCAGTATCAGTTCTCTCCTGTGCACATTAATAAATGTACATGGCATTTCTCCTACTAATCTGCCTTTTATCAATTGTTTTTTCTGTGAACCTTTAGAAGGTAAAAGGAAAGTTTTCCCTTGGCCCCTGCAGTGGCAATAAGGAAGTTCAAAACAAAAGTTGTTAATTCTGACCTGGGCTGGTATATTATGTACTACAGGCATAGTGACTAGAGCCTACGATAATTATATGGGGCCCACAGAAATGACTTAATTTTAATTTAAGATCAGAAGGGAAAATGAATAGTATAATACTAATGAAGATATAATAATAATTAGAGCCCAGATTATTTTCATTTCTTTACCAATACAATTGCAGAATATTAGTTTATAATGTTTTAAGAAAAAGGGGACTACCTAGGCAATAGTGCCTAGGTCTCATGACAGCCACAGTGCAACACTTCTACAAGCAAAAATTAACAAATGAGACCTAATTAAGCTAAAAAGCTTCTGCACAAAGAAACCATAAAGAAATTATATTGACAACCTATAGAATGTGAGAAAGTATTTGCAAACTATGCATTTGACAAACGTCTAATATCTAGCATCTATAAGAAACAAATTTTCAAGTAAAAACAACCTCATTAAAGATGGGAAAATTACATGAACAGACATTTTTCAAAAGAAGACGTACACATAGCCAACAAGCATATGAAAAAATGCTCAACATCGCTGTCATTAGAGAAATGCAAACCAAAACCACAATGAGATGCCACCTCATACCAGTCAGAATGGCCACTATTAAAAAGTCAAAAAAATTACAGATGCTGCAAGGTTGTGGAGAGAAGGAAATGCCTATGCACTGCTGGTGGAAATGTAAACTAGTTCAACCACTGTGGAAAGCAATTTGGAAATTTCTGCAAGAACTTAAAATAGAATTACCATTTGACCCAGCAATCCCATTATTGGGTATATACCCAAAGGAATATAAATTATTCTACCACTTATGGTAGAAACATGCACACATATGTTCACTGCAGCACTATTCACAATAGCAAAGACATGGAATTCACTTAAATGCACATCAATGGTAGACTGAATAAAGAAAATGAGATACATATATACCATGGAATATTATGCAGCCATAAAAAAGAATGAGACTGTGACCCTTGCAGCAATGTGGATGGAGCTGGAAACCGTTATCCTAAGCAAACTAATGCAGGAACAGAAAACCAAGTAGTGCATGTTCTCACTTACAATAGAAGCTAAACATTGAGTACATAGGGACACAAAAAGGGAACAACAGACACTGGGATCTACTTGAGGTTGGAGGGTGGAAGATGGTTAAGACTGGAAAAACTACCTATTAGGTCTTATGATTATTACCTAGCTAATGAACCCCAAACCCCTTTAACACCCAATTTACCTGTGTAGGAAACCTACATATGTACCCCTGAATCTAAAATAAAAGTTTAAAAAGTAATAAATAAAAGAATTAATCAAGTTAAATACATTTGTGCTGTCTATATAAAGAAGTAGTTGCCATTTCTGAGCTATAAAAATTTAACTATCTCCAGATCTCCTTTACACTAGTCAGCTTTATATAAATTAGTCTTCATAAGTGTACTAAAGAAAAACCAATTCACTTAAAATGGTATGAGAAAGTTCTGATCTGCACTATGTCCGTCTTGAAATACAGTTCTTAGGCAGTATATTTTGTCATCACAAAAGGCAACAGCAAATAAGCTTAAATACTGCTAAACACAGCATTGTATTTTTTAAAAAAATTATGCCCTCCCCCAAACTGATGTTTGTGCAAATAAGTTTATTAGAACATAATGTTCAAATGTTTTAGTCTATCTCAAAAAACTTTTCAGTACAATATCAACAAATAAATATTAAATTGCATGCATGGATTAACTACAATACATGGTCATACACAAAAGTGTGGTAGAAGTAGGCAAGAAATAATTCAGGGACATTTAGACAGCCATCTTAATATATATATATATATATTTATGTATATATATATATATATACACATATATATATATTTATTTATTTATTTTAGTGCAGCCCACAGCAAAGCTTTAGGAGCCAAATATTCATTCAACTATCATCTATTAAATAGTATATATTGGTTAGCTACAATTCCAACTAAAGAAAGAATAAAAATAATGCTCTAGTAAGAAATGCCTTATTTCTCTTGGAAGAGGCTGTTATATATAATCAAGTCTTCACATTTTCCAGTAAACTTGGAAAAGTTATTTTCAAATTGTCAAATTTTAGTGTATCAGTTCTACAAATCCCAATATTTTAAATAAGTATTGACAATAAGAAAATTGCCAAATTAGATAACTAAAATTTCCTTTTTTTATTATAAATTATCAAATTTACCATCTAGAATATAACATTAGACCTATGTGTACAATGATTTTATTGTGTTTAATAAATGAGATGATTTAGTTTTAGCTTCTGGGAACATATGTCATTGTATTATAAGTCCATTCAAGCTCAAAAATGTAATTTTATAAGTAATGGCAATTTACTAACAATTCAATTACTTTGTATGCTTGGCTATTTTATTTCCACCAATATATTTGAAGATTTAAACATGAGGTAAGAAAAACTTAGTGCAAATAAATGCAATTCAAATAAACTACTTGAATTCTTACCACGTACTGGTGTTTCACACAGAGGCTTGACATAAGCTTAAGCTATTGTCATGTTTGTATTTCAAAAAGAGTATTGTAGAGTAATGGTGTGTGGCAAATAAAGACTGAAGTCTTGGAGAGTGTATTGGCCATAGTAATGGAGAATGAAGTAAATATGATAGAGATTTTTGAGGCTTTGTTAAAAAATTCATTGAATAAATTGACTGGATTTGGGGAGGTACGAAAGGAGGAGTAGTCAAGGTAGACTAGTAAATTTTGGACTTGTCTAAAGTTGGTCATGCTCCTAATATAGTAATTACAGAAGTAGATACATTTTAGATGGGAGAGTAAGATATGATAAGACATTTTGAGTTCAGGGTTCATATTTTGAATGTGATATACATGCAGTTATAGTTACCTATACCAGTCTAGAACAAACTCAAAGAAAGAAATAACAGAGCAAAAAGAATACATAAATAGTTCTTACAAACAGATGTGAATAAAACTACACATATGGAGATGAAAATTAAGGGGATCATCAACATCTGGGAGAAACAGAGTAAGTGGCACCAATAAATGACATCATCAATGTGCTGCTGAGGAGCCGTGTGCAAAAAAAGGAGATTGTGATGCCTGTAGAAAATGAATTTTCCGAAGGATAAAATTGTCAGAAGTTGGAAAAATAAAAGGTACCCATAGAATTTTATAAGAAAATGAACATGGATAATATTTGCCCCAGCCGTTTTGTTAGGTGTTAGAGCACAAACCAGATTACAGAGATTGAAAATATTTATGGGGAAAGAGAAAGTAGAAACACCAATGTCAAAAAGGTCTTAACAAATCTTGTCTCCTTTAGAGCCTTTGAAATGGAAGAAAACTCACCATATGACCAAAGGCTTACGTTTGAAGAGAGGATTATGAGAGATCAAAATATGTTGAAATACTGATGGGGAAGAGCGATTGCAAAGGCAAGATTGGAAACAAAATGAAAAATCAATTAATTTACGTGAAGAGATAGAAGTGTGTCCAGAATACAAAAGAGATCATCTTAGACAAACGTTTTATTCTGCATTTCCTTTTGTGAGTAGGAAAAGACAGGAAACGTGATGATAGATGGAGACAGAGTGATAAAACGTTGAGGTGGTTTCACCTGCTGCTGAGTACAATAATAAAAATATTGAATGTTTATATGACACTTATGTACCTTCCATGTTTCTGAATAATTTTATATATATTTTATATATTTAAAATTTATAAATATATGATATATATTTTAAATATTAACTCTATAGATGTACACACACAACACTAATTTTCTGTATAAAAATTATCTCTTCAGAATTACACTGTTTACATGTAAAGGTGTAATAGGGTGGAGGTACATTATGGGATAGGGAGCAGAAAGACAAGAGAAAATTTGAAATAATTACTACAGAAAATTACCAGAAAGTATTAAGTGCACAAATGGAAGTGGGCAACAGGAATATGTAAGGGCATGAACTTCACCGATTAGAAGATTTTATTTGGCCTTCCCCTGGAGCTCCTGTGTGAAAAAGAAAAAAAGACTGAATGTGAGCACCATCTCATGTTGGAGTTTTCCAGGCAGATATGACAGAAGAATTAGAAGGCAAAAGGAAATAAAGCCAGAAGTGTTATGAAAGACATCCACATTATAAAGGAAGATGTTAAATTGTCCCTGGTTGCTGATGACATGATTTTATGTATAGAAAACCTTAAAGACTCCACCAAAAATTCTTAGAACTGATAAGAAAATGCAATAAAGTTGAATGATATAAAATCAATATACAAAAATCAGTAGCATTTCTATATACTAACAAGGAATTAACCAAAAAAGATATTAGAAAAAAAAATTGTTAGAACAGCCAGAAAAAAATCTAGATATAAATTTAACTAAAAGGTGCAAGATCTGTACATTGAAAACTCTAAAACAATAGTAAAATAAATGAAAGAAAACACAAGTAAATAGAAAGATATTCCATGTTCATGGATTGAGTTAATATTGTTAAAATATCCATATTACTCAAAGTGATCTACAGATTCAATATAATCCCTGCCAAAATTCCAATGACATTTTTCACAGATATATAAAAACAATCCTACCATTTCTACAGAGCCACAAAAGATCCAGAATAGCCAAAGCAATCTTGAAAGAACAAAGCTGGAAACACCACACTACCTGACTTCAAAATATACCACAAAGCTATAGCAATCAAAACAGCATGGTACTGGTATACAAACAAACACATAGACCAAGGAAACAGAATAAAGAGCCAGAAAGAAACCAACACATTTACAGTCAATTGATTTTTAACAAAGGTGTCAAGAACACAAAATGGAGAAAGGGCAGTCTCTTCAATAAATGATGGTGGGACAACTCAATATCCATAGGAAGAATAATGAAACTGGACCCTTATCTCATGTCATGTACAGAAATAACTCAAAATGGATTAAGGACCTAAACGCTGGGGCTGAAACTGTAAACTTACTGGAAGAAAACACAAAGGAAAATCTCCATTATACTGGTCTGGGCAATATTCTTTTTTGGATATAAACCCAAATGCACAGGCAATGAAAGCAAAAATGAAAAATGGGATTAAATCAGGCTTAAAGCTTCCGCACATCCAAGAAAACAATACTGACTAAAGAAACAACCTACAGAATGGGAGAAAATATTTGCAAACCAGATATCTTATAAGGGGTTTATATCCAAGATACATGCGGAACTAAAAGTAAACAAATAAACTGATTAATAAATGGGCAAAGGAATGAAATAGTTCTCAAAAGAAGACATAAAAATAGTCAACAGTTCTATTTAAAAATGCACACCATCATTAATGATCAAAGAAATTCAAATTAAACCACAATACGATATCACTTCATGTACTTTAAAATGGCTATTATCAAAAAGACAAAAGATGACAAGTGCTAAAGAGGATGTGGAGAAAAGAGAATCTTTGCACACTGTTGGGAGGAATGTAAATTTATACAGTCATTTTGTAAAGCAGTATGGAGTTTCTTCAAAAAATTAAAAAGAACTAACATACAATCTAGCAATACCGCTACTGGGTATATTCATATATTCAAAGGAAATTACATAAATATGTCAAAGAGATGTCTGTTTGCTCCCGTGTTCATTGCAGGATTTTTCATAATTGCTGAGATATGGATACAACCTAAGTGTTCATTATCAGATGAATGAATAAAGAAAATGTGGTACATAAACACGGTGGAATACTATTCAGCCTAAAATAAAGAAAAGAAAAAATCCTGTCATTTGTGACATGAATGAACCTAAAGAATATTATATTAAGTGGAATGATCAAGGCACAGAAGGATAAATACAGATTGATCTCACTTATATGCAGTGTGTACAAAAGGCTGAACTAATAGAAGAAGAGAGTTGAATAGTGGTTAGTTACCAGAGGCTGAGGCAAAAAGAGTGATGGCCATATGATACAAAATTAAAAAAAGACTCCAAGGAATAAGTTCAAGAGATCTATTGTATAACATGGTGACTATAGTTAATAACAATGCATTGTATTCATGAAAATTGTGAAGAGAGTAGATTTTGAGTGTTATCACAGAGAAAACTAAGTAGGTGAGTTAATAATGTATATTAATTAGCTTGATTCAGCCATTCCACAATGCGTACCTATTTAAAAGTAACGTGTTTTACTAAATAAATATATACAATGTTGTCAATTACAAATTTAATTTTCAAAAAAGTGGCTTTGCAGAATGGAAGAAAGGACGGTTCTCACTGAGGTCAAGGACAAGGTAAACTGGTAAAAGCGAAGGGAAACTGGGAGAATATGAGACATCTCAACTCAGATATTTAACGTAAGATATCAGTTTGGGGAAGTTCATGATGACAAGAACAAAGATGTGACAATGACGGTTAATATTAGATGTCAACCTGACTGGATTGAGGGATGTTGAGATGGCTGGTGAAGTATTGTTTCTGGGTGTGTCTGTGAGGGTGTTTCCAGAAGAGATTTACACGTGAGTCAGTGAAATGGGAGAGGAAGATCTGCCTGCAATGTGGGCAGGCACCATCCAGTCAGCTGATGGTGTCACTAGAAAAAAACTAGATGGAAAAAAGAGGCATTCAGTTTGCTTGCTCCCTTCTCTCTCTCTCTCTCTCTCCCTTTCCTGGAGCAGTACACCCTTTCCTCCTCCTGCTTTTGGACATCAGACATCAGACACCAGGTTCTGTGGCCATTGGACTGGGACTTTCACCAAAGGAACACCATCACCACCCCGCCCCCACATACACATATCCCGGGAGTTCTCAGGCCTTTGGCCTCAGACTGGAGCCACACTATCAGCTTCCCTGGTTTTGAGGCTTTCAGACTTGGACTGAGTCATGCCACCACCCTACCTGGGAGCCATATTAACAGTATTCTCTAGCTTGCCGGCAGCCTCTCGAGGGACTTCACCTTGGTAATCATGTGAGCCAATTCTCTCTAATGAACTCCCTTTAATATTCGTAAATATACATGGATGTACCTCCTATTAGTTCCATCCCTCTAGAGAAACCTAAGACAAATGCTAAAGTGGAGCTCAAATGTTAAAATGTAGGTAATTGGAGCTAAGGAGGTCAGAAAGGTAAACTAAAACATACTCTAAAATTTGAAATCACCCCAGATTGTAACACCTTGGAGTCAAGAGAAAGACTACTAGTAAGATTCTGTAAAGGGGTTTATGAAGTATGGGAGCAGATAGAGCAGAAGCTTTACTGCTACAATGAACAGAATTAAGTCATGGCTCAAGTTAGTCAAATTAATCTACCAATTTTTGAGTTCAGAATCAAACAGAAACACCTTTTTTATTGTGTTCCTCACAGAAAAAGCTGTTTATCTATTACTTCTTTTGTTTTGCACTAATTTGTACCGACAAAAAGTCTTTGCTGTGCTGTCTTCTCCTTCCAGCAAGAGTCCGAAATGAATGGAATAATAATGTAATAATAAAAGCAAAAAAAGATGTATCTACTTTCAGCACATTCAAAGAGTTTTACATGTACTCATCCAATTATATTTCACTATACCTGATGAAGTAGATTAGATCTACTAATTTGCTAATGAAAAATGGAGAAGTTATGTAACTTGCCTGAAGTTGCACAGTTAAAAGTAGTAGATCTCTCATCTGAACAGGCATGCAAACTCCATTTAGCATCAGCATGAGTTTTCATCACATGTATCTAAGAGGTGATGAAGAAGCCTCTTCTTCATCCGTCAGAATTAGTCTTGCACTCTGGGGTAATCACCAAAAACTATCCCTTCCTCTGTCATGAGATACCAATTATAAAAAGTTTGCCTCAGTTTCCTAGTGTATCACTTCTACCTTTTGGGCAAGATTAACCTGTGCACGCCCTAAATGACACTACATTTTGCCTGCATAGTTTATGCCAGTATTCTATCCCCAGAGTTTACCTTTATTCTACATTCAGTTGAAATTCTGAGTATGGTTGTGCCTAATCACAACCTTTAGGATCTTTAGGAAGAACGACAATATTCACTGCCCGAAATCTCCACTGCCTCAATCTGACTAGTGGATTGAAAAACTGTTATAATGACAGACCACATTATAGACTGCTGGCCACACCTTTGACAGGAATAGGGCACCACGGACCAAAAACTCTCAAATCATACTGGTTTTAATTATTTTAATTAAATAGCATATTTTAAACGACTGTCTCATTTGCACCAGTTTTGTTAGAATTCTTTTTTTTTTTAACTTTCTTATCTTTACATTGAAGTCATCCTTCAATCTAAGTACCTCAAAATCAGCCTATTTGTCCACCACAAACTGCAAAGCAAGCAAGAAGGCAAGTCACATTAAGAGTGACAGTCCTATTGTTAGATAAGCAATAGAATACATTTTACATAAGAAAGAACAGTATCAAAGGGAACAGTAAGTGGCAGATTGCAAAATGAAATTAAAGACCTAACAGAATAGATGTTTTTCTTTCCCTTTGGTGAGGCACCAGCCTTCTCATATTAAATGTTAAAGGTTATATAAACAATGAAACAGAAAGCAAATGGAAGATAGTATCACTTAGTGCTTTTTAACAAACATCAATGAACTGGGTTATATTAACATTAAAATATTTCTTAATAAAAATATACCTCACCCATAGGAGATTAGAAAAGACATCATAGTGATTCTATGCTTTGTGATATTTGTTGTGATCAAAAAGTTAAGCCGACAATTTAGAATGAAAAAAGATAATCAACTGTCTAGGTCAAATAAGACATTCACTTAACACACTGCTTTATTTATTGATTTTCTCAAAGATAAGCAAGAAAGTGTTCATCAGACTTTAATTTTTACAGGATTAGTATGTTTGTTCCTCAGCTCATCAGCTTCCAGGAATGGATGAACTTGATATTTTCCCTGCTACCTTATCTGCTGAGTATATAAAATACCATAAACCTTTTCTGACACCTTCAGATAATTTGCAGAAAGATAAATGACCACAAATCAGATATGGTTAGCCATAGCACCAAGTCTCAAAGGGCATCTCTCCTTTGCTGAAAAAGATTTTGGATAGGTAAACATAAATTTATATTAAAGTTTACCACAGTATTCTGTCACACTACCATTTGGGGGTAGGAATAATCCTCTTTACTATTCACGTAAGAAAAGAGTTTTATAGTTTATAAGGAAAACATTAATGTCACCTGACCATTCCAATAGATCCCTAAGATATTTTTTTCTGTGTTAGAAAGGCTTAGAAAAAAAATCTTAGAATGATGTGATACCCCAAATATGAACCATAACTTGTTCTTTAAATATCTACTGTTATTAAGACTAATTGAGCTCATGAGTTAGCATCTTCTAATTCTACAACAAATGTGGACACCAAAAATGATATAATAATGACACATTCTACTGCAACTGTGCAACAAAATCAAAGGGTTGTTCAAGATATAGCAATTCAATCATGTAGTATTACAAAGGAATTAATGACACATATAAGGAATTGATCGACTAAGGTAGAGTTGAGAACAGTTAACTTCATATGATCATTAATCCCTTGGAATTGTTTTTTTATTGCCTCTAAATATTGAAATGGAGAAATAATGCAGTGATATGAGTTCTTTTATAGCAAAATTGATAGTTTTAACAGTAATTATCGCCAGGAGTGGTGGCTCACACCTGTAATCCCAGCACTTTGGGAAGCCGAGGTGGGTGGATCACGAGGTCAGGAGATCGAGACCATCCTGGCTAACATGGTGAAACCCTGTCTCTACTAAAAATACAAAAAATTAGCCGATCGTGGTGGCGGGTGCCTGTAGTCCCAGCTACTCGGGAGGCTGAGGCAGGAGAATGGCATGAAGCTGGGAGGCGGAGCTTGCAGTGAGCCGAGATCGTGCCCCTACTCTCCAGCCTGGGCGACAGAGTGAGACTCCGTCTCAAAAAAAAAAAAAAAAAAAAAAACACAGTAATTATCAAATTTCTGTTGGAGGGTTTCTCATGTTAACTTTCTTAAGTGGGTTAACTAACAAGCCTTTCTCATGTTAGTCATATAAAATATACAAAATATGTATGGTTGTGCAACATAAATAACAGAAATGAATAGGGGGTTCACTGCACATTTCATAAACTGTAGAGTAACCCAAGATTATACGCAAACTTTGACAACTCTCAGTTGTTTGACCTCAGAAACATTACACTTTGAATTTAGTTCCTCAACCATGTAATGAGTAAATCCCCAAAATAACATAGGAATATTGTACAGATTAACCAGGCCAACATGTATGCAGTCCTTAATATAGTACATTGTCCATATTCAGGACTCAGTAAATGTTATCTCTGTCTCTTTAGTACCCAAATTAACCTTGAACGTAATTGTGTACTTGATTTACATCAAGTGAAATGATAGTTAATATGTTCAATGTACTCAAAAAGTCCTTAATATTTACCAAATATGCTCCATAGAAAAATAATGTCTTCAAGTGTTCTGCCAAAGGAAAAAAAAAAACACATTAAAAAGCATTATGTGGCCAAGGAGGTTTATGAATTAGATGGCAGTAGATAGACAAATCTAGATGTAGATTTATCAGTCCCCCATCTTATATATTCATAATGTTCAGGGGCATATTAAAGAATCTGATAAATCTTGTGATAAAAACAAGTCTGTTGAACTTATGGAGTGGGTTTTTGACCCCTGTAAAACACTTAATATTACTTGGAGGAATTTTCAAGTAGTAGATATTGAGGAGTACAAGCTCACCAACTTGCTGAAGAGTAGACTGTATATATTCTATTAATAAAATTCACCTTGAATTGTACAAGGTGTAAAGCCTGCTTGTGCACAATATTACATTCAATCAACACTGACATATTAAAGGATGATTTAGGATTGAATTGTAACAGCGATGGAAAGTCTAAGCTGCTAGAGAAGGGTTTACGAAGGAGACAGAATTGGAGCTAGGTCTGGAAGTCCACATAGGATTTTACAAAGTTATCAAGCAACATCTCTTGAGACAATAAAAAGGCAAAGCTGCAGACCACAGTAAGGTGGTTAAATCTTTAGAACAGGTATATTGGAAGCAGAATCTGCTAGACATCCCTTCACTCCGGCTTGCATGGGAGGGCTGCACCTTACTTTAGGATATCTTAAATATGACATGTTCTCAGCTCTGTTGGGCAAAATAAAACTTGTTTTGACATATAGCTATATATACTGTGTCTTTTCCAGACCAAACATTATTCAAAAAAAAAAAATAGGTGATTTTGAGGAGAGTCCAACATCCTTTGCTCTGAGAGGACTACATTTCATTGCGAATGCTACTCACACAATATGGCTGCTAACCTGGTAAAACTTATAAACACTTCACAGTAGATATTTAGGACTTCAAATATCGAAAACTTCCACTATGATTCTTTCCTTCTTACATTTATCAACACTTCTCTACCCCCACCCTCACATACCTACACTAGAAAATCCTTGGGTTGTTGTAAGTTATTGAGAGTAAGTTGATAGAATATCTTATGGCCCAGTCCCCACTATACTTCAAAAAAAAATAAGGAATTAGATTTTTTAATAGTCACAGGTACTACTCTTTATTATTTGTCTTATGAGATATATATGATGGCACAAGGGTCTTCGTGAAGAAAAGAAACTATCTAAAGGCCATTGGGATAATTCCTTGCAGAATTTTTGGCAAGCTCTTTGGAAGACTCTGAAAAACATAAAAACGGCCAAGCAACGGAGCCATCTGCCTCATCTGGGCTGAGATTCAGTTAACAGTTTATAACATCACTTTTGAGATTTTGCATAGAACCTAGGTTCATGCAAGACAATCCTCACATATAGTTTCAGAAATAAATGGATAACATATGGTTGCCTATGGAGAAATAGTAGCTTATTCATTTCCTTTTACTCAACCAGGACATTTACTTAAAAGGCTGTTTTTGTACGGGCCCAGTATTTCCAGTGTGTTCCTCAGCCTCCCCTGTGGCTGGGATTACAGGTGCCTGTCACCATGCCTGGCTAATTTTTGTATTTTTAGTAGAGTCGAGGTTTTGCCATGTTGGCCAAGCTGGTCTCAAACTCCTGACATCGTGATCTGCCCACCTCGGCCACCCAAAGTGCTGGGATTACAGGTGTGAGCCACCGCGCCCATCCAGTAACTAATTTTCTATCCAACAAAGATTTAATATAACCAATAGGCACTATTCTGGGTGCTAGGTAAAGGTGATCAACTTGTGTCTTCAACTTGCTTACAGTTCAGGGAGGGAGACAGGGTAGTGTATTATTATTATAATTTACTGTGGTAAGTGCTATGATGGAAGAAGGCTTGAAGGGCCATGAAGCATCAACAAGAGACGTACTAAAAGAAGTACGCCTTACATAATTGCTGTGATAGCTGGTTTTTTGTTTTTGTTTTTGTTTTGAGTTGGAGTCTTGTTCTTGTTGCCCAGCCTGGAGTGCAACGGCACAATCTCAGCTCACTGCAACCTCCACCTCCCGGGTTCAAGTGATTCTCTTGCCTCAGCCTCCTGAGGAGCTGGGATTACAGGTGCCCACCACCACGCCTGGCTAATCTTTGTATTTTTAGTAGAGATGGAGTTTTGCCATGTTGGCCAGGCTGGTATCGAACTCGTGACTTTGTGATCCGCCCACCTCAGCCTCCCAAAGGGTTGGGATTACAGGCATGAGCCACCGTGCCCGGCTGGTAACTAGTTTCCTATCCAACAAAGATTTAATACAACCAAGCAAGTTCAACTTTGCTACCTCAAGAGAAGGAAAAAAAAAAATTCAGTGTCTATAATTTAGCTAGCTCTGTCACTTTTCTAGAAAATTCTAAAGCAAATTACTAGACTGTAAGGCGAGAAATATTATAAGAAGAAAAAATGAGCTGGTTCCTTTGTGATGGAAATACAGAGTAGCTCTACTATGATGTCCATTTTTTAAATGTCATGTTCATTTCGAAACTAAATCTTGTGTAAATGACGAGTTAATGGGTGCAGCACACCAACATGGCACATGTATACATATGTAACAAACCTGCACATTGTGCACATGTGCCTTAAAACTTAAAGTATAAAAAACAAACAAACAAACAAACAAAAAACCAAAAAAACCTAAATCTTGTACATAACTATGGAAAATACTTGCTCAAATTGTTTAATGTATCTTGGTAGATTCTGGCATCTCCAGAAACTTTAAATATCCTCCTTGATTAATAGATAAAATGCCAAATTACTCCAGTGAAAGTCCAGAGACTCTAGGCACAATGCATGGACAGTCTGGCTCCCTATAATTGTTAGTGTCATTTCCTGGGTGTCCTCTGTTACTCTGGGCATATATTTCCAAGAGTCCATGATCTAGCAGAAATATTCTGAACACTAAATTCCTCTCTTTCCACAGGATATAATTACATAAAACATGCAACTAGATGAGAACCATGGCTTCTGATAAAGATGAGGACCTTAATGTTCCACTTGGAAAAATGAGTATTCCATGTCCAGTATCTTACCACCTGTGGTCCTCCGTGCCCACACCAAGTAGAATCTTCAACTCAGATGATACAATACATAGAACAATTACATACATTTTTTTTATAATGCCCAGTTTTGAGGTAACACTCTAAGGAGGCCTCAGATTCTGGGGCCTCCAAGAAACTTCCTTGATTTGCAGGATGTAAATTGACCCTGGGTTGAGAATTGCAAGAACTGTCAGCTCATAATAACTTCATCTAAAACTCTGCTCTAAGAGAATTGACTAAACTTTAGCAGGGCTTCTATCACCGTAAGATCATTCGTTGTGTCTCCGTAACCACCCAGCTTTCTTTTAAATTCCTGCCTCGAAAAGCTCAGGGCTGTCAAAAGAATTTACTGTTTGTTTTAGGGAACCCTGGATGAATAGGCACCTGACCTGCTTATTTAGATCCTTTGCTAAACATAGCTTAACATTGTGAATACGTCTCTGTCCTTTTGAGATGTATATGCCTCTCCTACAACTCAGAAGTGTCTTTCCCAAGGACCTGAAAGCCATTACTTTAAAATGTAATAATGATTGCATTTCCAAGGAAGGATAGGGTCTCTACCTCCCAGTCCCTGTGGGAGGATAGAATCCTAACTGTGATCATTGCCAGTTAACAGACACAGCTAGACTAATTACATTTACACTGACCAACCTTTGTAATTTTTCACTTCCCTGACACTACTTGAGTGCCTGCTTGCTCCCCCTCCACTCCCTCATTCTCTCATGAAAATGCACCATCACTTCTATGCAAATCGGAATGCAACTCTGCTCTTTCCCTCTCAGTAGTTATGAATAACGTCTGTTTTCACCATTGTAACTAACATCCGGTTTTATTTATCTTCAACAGGCCCACCACAGTGTGGAAAATTTCATTAAAACATATATTCTACTCTTGTGCCATGAACTGTCCACGGAAATCAGAATGCTTAGCATTCTGATTGACAATCCTAGAATTAAGGCCTATGCTATTTCATTACTTTTTTAAAAGGACTTGTTTTGGTGGCAGCAAAGACCCTCTTCAAATCTGGGTTTTTAATGTAGCAAGAAGGACCTCATGATGGTACTGAAAACACCATTGTTGTTTAACTTATTGGACTTATCAATACTCCCTGGGCTGTTTACAAGGTCTCAAGATAACACTTGTATATTTTCAACAATCCATGTTTCCTCTGGGTACCTGGTTTAGTCAATTAGAGAATGAGCCACTAGTTTCTGAGAACAACGTATGATTCAATGAAAAAGTGAAACTAGCTTTCCATCTGCATTCAACTTAAACAAGTCCATCAGTACATTGATTCAAAACATGCCTTTCCTGGCCTTTTACCTCCCATGCCAATACCCATCATCATTCTTGTCAGGCCTCTGAGCCCAAGCTAAGCCATCGTATCCCCTGTGACCTGCACATATACGCCCAGATGGCCCAAAGCAAGTGAAGAATCACAAAAGAAGTGAAAATGACTGGTTCCTGCCTTAATTGATGACATTCCACCACAAAAGAAGTGAAAATGGCTGGTCCCTGCCTTAACTGATGATATTACCTTGTGAAATTCCTTCTGCTGGCTCATCCTGGCTCAAAAGCTCCCCAACTGAGCACCTTGTGACCCCCACCCCTGCCTGCCAGAGAACCCCCCTTTGACTGTAATTTTCCTTTACCTACCCAAATCTTATAAAACGGCCCCACCCTTATCTCCCTTTGCTGACTCTCTTTTTGGACTCAGCCCGCCTGCACCCAGGTGAAATTAACAGCCTTGCTGCTCACACAAAGCCTGTTTGGTGGCCTCTTCACACAGACTCGAGTGACAATTCTCATAATTCATAACTGACTTTCAAATTCTATACCACAAGGCTGAACTCACATCACTCACACACTGGCCAAGCTCCAGGATCTCAAATTAATGATATTCCAAAGAAGGTCTCCTGCTTTAAAAGAACTTTCTATGACTTTATCTGTCACTTTAATCAAACACTTCTTTAAGAAACTGCATAGTATTTACATGGGGTCTATTCACTATTATCTATAAAAGTGATCTTATAACTTAAAGAAATATTCATTTATGAAATAAATCTAGGAAAAAAAGTATTCACTGCCTCAAAAGTTTGTATATACCTTGAAATTATTATCTCATTTAATAGGAGAGTAGGGGAAAAAAGATGAATTATTGTTGAAATGGAAAAGAACACTGCTTCGCAAACCAATTATACAATTCACTCACCTAATGTCAAAAGGAGTTAGTCACAAAAAAAATTTAATGGGTAAATTGCCATCTGGTGTAGATTAAATCTTAGAGCCAACCTCAGAGAATTCCTACAGTGCTTGTTCCATTTGACTTCTTGATTGCCACAACCTCCATTTTTCTTTAATATTCCCATTCGCAGATACTGCAACCCAGGTATATTCTGATCAACAGATTTCATATTTGGCCCTACACTCAGTCTCTTCATTTTGCCCCACTTTCAGCATAATGCCTATAAACCTTCCTCTTTTTTTTTCAGATTCCACATTCTGCTGTTATATTTTTACCACTGTTTTTTGCTATTTGTTTTGAAAATTTAAAGTCCAGTCTTGTCTCCATCTTCTCATTCTGACCAAAGCATATCAGTCAGAAAATAACATGACTCAGAGAGTAAGGACTTGAGGACATCTACAATTATGAGAAAACATGACAATCAGGTAAATGATTTCTGGTCATTATATACTTTAGTAGATATATGTAATTGAAACAGTTACTTCAAATAGAAGAACATTTGACTTATATTAATTGGCACAGCATGTAGACTTGGTCTCATACCCCGTGGAAGGGAAGAGTAAATTTTTAAAATATCTAGACAGGGCTTTTTTTTTTTTTTTTTTTTTTTGATGGAGTCTCACTCTGTCTCACCCAGGCTGGAGTACAGTGGCACGATCTCAGCTCACTGCAACCTCTACCTCCCGGATTGAAGTGATTCTCCTGCCTCAGCCTCCCGAGTAGCTGGGATTACAGGTGCCCGCCACCACACCAGACTAATTTTTTGTATTTTTTTTTTAATAAGAAATAGTTTAAAATTTTTTTAAATTATACTTTAAGTTCTAGGGTACACGTGCACAACATGCAGGTTTGTTACATATGTATACATGTGCCATGTTGGTATGCTGTATCCATTAACTCGTCATTTACATTAGGTATATCTCCTAATGCTTTCCCTCCCCCCTTCCCCAATTTTTTGTATTTTTTAGTAGAGATGGGGTTTCGCCATGTTGGCCAGGCTGGTCTTGAATTCCTACCTTCAGGTGACCCACTCACTTCGGCCTCCCAAAGTACTGGGATTATAAGCGTGAGCCACCGCGCCTGGCCTAGATGGGGTTCTTTGAGCATAATTATGTCTGTTACTAAATTAATGTCCCTCACCTTCAATCCCACCATTCTAGTCTGCTTTGTGGTGCTAGCGCTGAGACACCGCAAACTGTATTTATCCTTTGTCCACTGATTTCCTGTTGGAGTCTGCAAAGAGGAGGTATGAGAGAGTGACTGGAAAGCTTTCTCATGCTCTTCCTCTTCCTTGTTTTGGAAGTGTCAAGTGTTGCTGTCAAGTGTTTCTCAAAGACCCAAGCAGGTTGGGTTTTCAAGTAGCAGCAGCTGATTCTAATACGCAGTCTTTGCAGCACTTGCAGACCCAGCACCACTGTGCCCTCTGGGAGACACTAGCACCATCAGCGGAAGCTCCCTCCTCAGAGCCTGGGCCCTCGGCCCCATGAGGGCTCCTCTTCAAGCCCAGCAACTCCAGCCGCAACTGAACACCATCTCATTCTTGGTTTTTTTGTCTTTTCACTTTCTGAATACCTAGTAAACATTCTTTATTAAAGTCTATCCTGGCCAAGTACTGTGGCTACACCTGTAATCCCAGCACTTTAGGAGGCCGAGGCGGGAGGATCACCTGGCCAACATGGTGAAACTCCATCTCTACTAAAAATACAAAAATTAGGCTGGGCGCAGTGGCTCACACCTGTAATCCCAACCCTTTGGGAGGCTAAGGCGGGCAAATCACGAGGTCAGGAGCTCGAGACCAGCCTGGCCAACATGGTGAAACCCTGTCTCTACTAAAAATACAAAAAATTAGCTGGGCGTGGTGGTGGGCACCTGTAATCCCAGCTATTTGGGAGGCTGAGGCAGGAGAATCACTTGAACCCAGGAGGGAGAGGTTGCAGTGAGCCGAGATCGTGCCAGTGCACTCCAGCCTAGGCGACAAGAGTGAAACTCAGTCTCCAAAAATGATACTAAGAAAGTCTGTCCTGATTGGACACAGACAGATACAATGATTCATAGAAAAATATCTTTTATATTGCTATCCAGTATAATATGCATGCACTCATATAAAAAGTTAAAACAAATGTTTTCTGAAATAATATTCACCATAATTTTGTGTAATACACCCTATTTTCTATTATTTTTCTTTTTTGATTTTTTTGAAAATTCTGTTAGTAATCTAGTATATTTATTTTATAACATCCTATTATTTATTAACCTGTAAATACTGATGTAGGTGAAACATAAATATGTAATCTAGCACTATAATCCCTTTGCCCACATAATGGTTTAAATCAGATATTTGATTTGTATATATAGAATCTTCTGAAAATTTTCTAAATATACTCAGAATGTCGGGAATAAAAGTTAGCAAGAAACATATTTAAAAAGATAATAAAAAGTAAAATGCAAAATACAACTAAATATAAAAACCCAAATTGTACAAGGAAATTCTATTGGGGTGGTCTGGATCCACAGTCTAAATCTTGCAATGGACCTGCTGGAAAATACTGAGAACCAAAAGATGATTCAGACACACCTACACATATGCAAATTACAGTACTAATAATTTTTCTGATTTCATTAAGTCCTTTTGTATTTATACTGAAAGAGAATCTGTTCCCACAAATTTATATAAATGGAGAGAGAGAGAATGTGTATGTGAGAGAGAGAGAGAGATAGTGCAGGAGAAAGTGTGTGTGTGTGTGAGAGAGAGAGAGAGAGAGAGAGAAGGTCTTCAATGTCTCACTATGTTGACTAGGCTGGTCATAAACTCCTGGCCTCGAGTGATCCCCCACCTGCCTCGGCCTACCAAAGCCCTGGGAGTACAGGCATAAACCATGGTACCCAGCTGAGAATCTGTTCTTAGTCACAGAGAAAATATAATAAATAAGTCAGTCAAGAGAAGTGAAAAGATTTTCATACAATACAATAAAATCCCATTATTTGTCTATGCTAAAACCTAAATTAATGATAGTTCATATGCTTAGTAAAACGGGAAAAAATTCATTTTCAAAGTCTACTGTGTTTTCCCATCTATAGAAGGTGTGATATGGACTACTTATAGAGTCGAAAAGATGCCCAACTGATTTGTTGGCAGTTTCAGACCTGGAGACCACTAAAAATAGTAGCGTTTGTTTAAGACATCAACGGGTTGGCCGACCATTTAACTCAGACCATTTTTTCTTACAACTAAATTGGACAAATCATGTTTAAATAAATTTATAGCACAGATAAGCTGCATAGAAAGAGTTTAAAATGCCTTAAGAGAAATGATGATATATGGCAGATGAAATGAATTAAAAGTAAGAGAACCTAGTTTTCCAATAAACTCATCATCCCTCACTGGGACTCACTTGCTCTGTTTGAAAATAAGAGTCTAGAGATTAAGTAACCTCTAAGCCTCTATCAAGTTATGCTACTTCTTTGTATTACAGTAAGAATAAATGAAGTTCCTAAGTGCCGATACACATGAAGGTCACTGGGAACTGCCTCAGAAGCGAGCAAATCAATAAACCAGGGCATCAGCACTTCTCTCCATCCTCACAATGTGAGGACAGCCCCCACTGCTGCCTGCTCTCACTCTTCTGCTACCATCGGGATCATCTGTCACACTCCAGGATATTTGTCTTCTCTCACTCATCTCTTATTCATCATTAAGCAAAGAGTGTGTTAAAATATAGTCTATTCTCGGCCAGGCGCAGTGGCTCACACTTGAAATCCTAGTACCTTGGGAGGCCAAGGTGGGTGGATCACCTGAGGTCAGGAGCTCGAAACCAGGCTGGCCATGTTGATGGTGAAACCGCATCTCTACTAAAAATACAAAATTAGCCAGGTGTGGTGCCTGGTGCCTGTAATCCCAGCTACTCAAGAGACTGAGACAGGAGAATCGCTTGAACCTGAGAGGCGGAGGCTGCAGTGAGCTGATACCGTGCCACTGCACTCCAGCCTGGGTGAGCCAGAGCAAGATTCTGTCTTAAAAAAATAAAAAAATAAATAATATATGTATATATGTGTATATAAATATATATATACATATATACACATATATGAACATATAAATATATACATGCATATACACACATATACATATATATGCATTTATTAATAAATATATACATATATATGTATATATATACTGAAACATACCCAAAATGAGGTCATACATTGATTGGTTAAGAAAGTATCATGGTCAGAGGCTCATGAAACCCAACCCAGTATCTCCTCTAGGAGCAATGGTTCTAGATAAACATATATACACATGTATACATGTAAACATATATATACATGTATACATGTAAACATATATATATCTATATATGTTTATATATGTATATATGTGTATATATGTATGTGTGTGTGTGTATATATACATATATATATAGAGAGAGAGAGAGAAAGAGAGAGAGACTGTCAGTTCTCACTTTTCACTGTAGTTATGCTTTATAAAGTCACAATGAACACTGAAATAGCAAATCCAGAACCATTGCTCCTAGAGGAGATACTGGGTTAGGGTTTCATGAGCCTCTGACCGTGATACTTTCTTAACCAATCAATATATGGCCTTATTCTGGGTATGTTTCAGTATGAAGATACCTCATTTAATATGTACTGTTGAGTCATGAATATTGAACTCACAGCCAACAGTACTATAACTTATACCTGAATAAAGTTCATCTAATGTACATGTTTTCCCCATAAAGCACATTACAGACTTCTTGTGCATAGAAACGCCAGATGGAACTTTAGCACTATGCTTGGGGGCCATTTCAGACAGCAAATCACTACGAGGAAACACAAAAATGTGAAAAATGTAGCCGTAAAAAACCTGCGAAAAAGGACACATGCCTATAGTATGACAGCTGAAATAAGAAGACTCAGGGTTGCTTTGTTCTACCTCAGCTGGAAGGTGAGTTTCACTTACCTCAGATTTTTGCCATTTTGCAAATGTCAATAAATGATCATGATTGAACCAAGAGTATTGATTTGGGGGTTCTAAATACATTTTGGCAAGAATGTGAATTCACAAATACAAAAATCATAGTAGGAAGGATCAGTTCTATGTTGCCCTACTTCTCATAGAGAATGGTTTATAATCAATTTTGGATGAATAAATACAATCTTGACAATAGCTACCTAGGAGTTTATGAGGCTGCCCCCTACACTAAAAATAAACAGTCCATTTTATGTCAAGTAGCACTTCAAAATAAGCCAACTGATGAAAAAATTAAAGTTCGTTCTTCAGAATGGAAAAAAATAATGAGATTTTAATTTCTTACCTATATCTCACTCCTAAAAAAATTCTAGGAAAAATCTTAATGGAACTAGTTTTATTCTTGAATCTGTTTTAAAGTTATGCATTAAATTTACTTTTAAATATGGTTATAATTTAAGATCTACATTACTCAAGATGAATCTTCAACCAATCCTATAATGACCAGAAATTACTAGGACTTTCTATGACTTATAATAGCAGTTATTGCTAATGTATTTTCTGGCTTAAATTATATTAAATTTTAAAAGAAACACCCATGTAAATTTAGTTTCATAAAGCAATTTGCTGTCCTTAGCACTGCAAATAAAACATTAGAATAAAAACTACTTTAAGCAAATGGCTACTGAAAGCCATTATTACCTTTTCTACTTAAAATACATCATGCTTCCCTCATTTTCTATAAATTTTAAACTCTTTAGATCAATATGACCCGATCTCCACATATTTCTCTACTCCAACTCCAACTACACTCTGCCTTATAGCAAATTGCTAGCCACACTCTGCTTCCTCGCTCCCTCTGCCCACACACATGCACAGGATACATGCAGGGGCAGAATAGTGTAGTGATTTTCAATTCATATTCAGAGTCAGACTGTGTGGATTTAAATAAGTTCAAACCCAACTACTGAGTGCTTATTTCTTGGTCATATTACTTTATCTCTTGAAGTTCAGTTCTCTTTCAATGCATAGGACTACTAAGGCACCTACTTTCAGCAGATGATTGGATTTAAAAAATGTGTTATACATATACAATGGAATACTACTTATCCATAAAAAGAATGAAATTATGCATTTTGCAGCAATATAAATGGAACTGGAAGGGTTTTTGTCATTTATTTGTTTGAGATGGAGTCTCACTCTGTCACCCAGGCTGGAGTGCAGTAGCAAGATCTTGGCTCGCTGCAACCTCCACCTCCCAGGTTCAAAGGATTCTCAAGCCTCAGCTTCCTGAGTTGCTGGGACTACAGGTGTGAGCCACCATGCCTGGCTAGTTTTTGTATTTTTAGTAGAGATGGGGTTTCATCATATCACCCAGGGTTGTCTCCAACTCCTGGCCTCAAGTGATCCTTCCGCCTCCGCCTCCCAAAGTGCTGAGATTATAGGTGTGAGCCACCATGCCTGACAGAACTGAAAGTTTTATCTTAAGTAAAATTACTCAAAACAGAACATGAAATACCACATTCTCACTTATAAGTGGGAGGTAAATAATGTGTATACATGGACATAAAGTGTGGAATAATAGACACTGGAGACTCGGGAAGGATGAGAGGGTGAGAGGGTGGGATGAAGTGTGGGATGAAAATTACAAAATTACAACGTTCACAAATTCAGGTGATGGTTACTCTAAAAGCCCAGACTTAACCACCACTATATCCATGTAACAAAACTATAATTGTACCCTCTAAATCTATTTTAAAAATTAAAAACAAAATTAAATAAAATGATGCTTATAAAACATTTGCCAAGTCCTAAATACTATTATTAAATACTATTATGAGTATTAGCATTATTATTTCTATGATGGTGACTTTGATGATGATAAGGAGGAGGAGGTAGAATGTCTGTTTGTAGCATTGCCTCTGCTTCTGGCATTACTTCTGCCTCCACTGCCCATCCACCTTCATTCATATTTGTCCTTCAGATTCAGCTCAGGTATCATCTTTTTTGGAAAACATTTTCCAATGCTCTGGGTAGAGTGAAATAAACTACTCCCATAGGACGTATAATTTTATGCGCATACATCATAGATTTTCTCGGACTTGCCTATTTTGGTTTCTTGACTTCTTCGCTATGCTGTGAGTCCCTCAAGGACAGAGAGCCTACCATACTCATCAGAATGTTACCATTATCTAGCTCATTACCTTCCTTATCACATGTGTTCAATATTTTCACCGTAGCACTGAGTCCCTGAAGACAAATAATCAACAATTTTACTTGTCAGTGTTGCTATTGCCATGCCTTCAGAACAGAACTCAAAGAGCGAAATAAATTGAACTACATCTATCTACCACACCTACTTTCTTTCCTTTATGTTTTTCCCTAAAATATCCCAAGCATGTGGCCCTTAGGAAAACTGACTCAACACCCTTGTCCCTCGGGCCCTGGCCCTCTGGCCCGGTGTTCCCGTCTCACACACCGAGTGTTCTCCCTCGCCGTGGTGTGCGGTGAGCAGCCGGCATTGTGATGACACACCACTGACTGCTTCCAACGTGCCTCCTGACAGCTATCTTCACAAATAAAATGTAAATTGAAACTGTTCCAAAAAACATCCATGACCTCAAGAAGATTTATCAGCTCTCCTGGTGTATGCAGTAAATGAAACGTTATTATTCTCTCTTCACACAAATTCTGTCTGACAGATGGTGTTTTGTTATTTTAGGAAAGTAGCAGTCTATCGAGTCTTTAAGAGTTCCTTTAAAGGTCCCACTGCACCATTTCCACAAATCTTTTGCCTCTAAGAGAATACATACAATAAATTCTTCCATAAAATAACCACAGAGAAATTGGCATCTCCTAGGGTTACGAAGCCGAGATTAAGAAAGAAAATGTATATGAAAGAACTCTGTAGCCATCAATGCTTTATAAATATGTGTGCAAAAAAGGAAACCTGTTTTCCAAATAAGTTTCTGGAGGACTATTGCTTTATAATATCTCCATAGAACTAGCCAGTTAAACTTGTTCTTGTTATTCAATCATCTCTGCTTTCCCAATGGGATATTCTCCTTGCATTTTTCAAGTGCTATCTGATAAGACTGGGTTTTAAAATGATTGTTACTCTTAATTTCACATGAAGACAAACTGAGATAGAATTAACCTTACCCGGCCTGGCGCGGGTGGCTCATGCCTGTAATCTCCGCACTTTGCAAGGCCGAGGGAGGTGGATCGCCTGAGGTCAGGAGCTTAATACCAGCCTGGCCAACGTGGTGAAACACTGTCTCTACTAAAAATACAAAATTAGCCTGGCATGATGGCATGCCCCTGTAATCCCAGCTATGGGAGGCTGAGGTAGGAGAATTGCTTGAACCCGGGAGGTAGAGGTTGCAGTGAACTGAGATCACGCCATTGCGCTCCAGCCTGGGCAACAGATTGAGCCTCTGTCTCAAAAAAATAAAAAAAATAAAAAAATAAAAAAGAAAAGATAAAAGAATTACCTCACCCAGGGAACTAAGGTCCCTCTGAAAATCTGAACAGAGGAGATGATATTGTTCTGTTAATGAATCCCAGGAGACAGCAATTATGTGTCATTGTTGACACATATCATAAGAAGCAGGCTATATAACCCCAAATTAGAGATGATTACAAATGAGGTTTATCATTAAAGTCATTATAAAATGACAGTCATTAAGAAAAGGGAAAAAAGACTTTTGCAAAACCAAAACACCTGCAGGTAGAAGAAATTTTTACTTTCAGGAAAAGGAGCATTTTTTTATTTGATTTGAATTTACGATGCCCAATTCATCATTTTAAGTAGATTAAAAGATTTTATTGCACTGAATTAAAACATAGATTGAAATTAGTAATTTTGCATTGAGCATATTTAAACGTGTTAATTTTTTTTTAAGTATAAATAAGCTAGACTGGCTTAATATATTTTACATACATTCACATCCTAAGCTAACATCAATGGTCTTTAAAAAAAAATTGGGAGTTTAAATTGATGCAACAGTTTTGGTGGACATTTTGTCAATACCGCTCACACTAAGTTCTAAAAAATATACACACATTTTTGATCCTACAATTCTACTGCTAAAAGTTGGCTTGAACCTGTTGCTACAATGTAATACTTTCAAAATAATTATGTTTGTAGCATGGCAAAAAAATTCAATAGCACAACACTAAAGAAGCAGTGGCTGTATGTACAGCAGTAATTAAGATGCTTAGTCACTTAAACAGCTTTATTGTCCCTGCCAGGAGATTCTAAATAAGCTAGTTTTTCTAACTTTTTCCATTGAACTGATTACATCTCTACCTATTTTGATATTATATAAATGTCAACTTTTATACAGTGTAGCTAAATTCACTTTTTAAAAAGTATAGTCATACGTTATCATTTTATAAAATAGTTTCTAAAATATTTTGCATAATTATTCTGTATAGCTTTGAGGACTGTTACAAACTTTATATTTACTTACTTAGCTTGCCACAGGGGTGGTAATTACATCAGGTGTACTCTCCACTTATTATTATTATTATTTTTTGAGATGAAGTCTCCCTCTGTCACCCAGGCTAGAGTGCAATGCTGCTATCTCGGCTCACGGCAACCTCTGCCTCCTGGGTTCAAGTGATTCTCCTGCCTCAGTCTCCCGAGATTACAGGCATGTGCTTATATTTTTAATCAACTTTTATTTTGGAAAATTTTCAGGTTGACCAAACAGTTGCAACATTAGAGCAGTGGGTTTCCATGCACCTAGTGCCCAGTTTCAGTTTCCAACAATGTTATCTCTTCTGTGGCCCATGTATGTTTCACAAAATGAAAAAAACAACACTGACCTATTACTATTAACCAAACCCAAGACTTAATTGAGATTTCACCAGTTTTATCAATAATGTCCTTTTTCTGTTCTGGAGTTTCATCCAGAGAACCACATTCCATTTAGTTGTCATATGCCCTTTAGTCTCCGCCATACTGTCTCTGTTTCTCGATGTTTCCATGGTTTTCATGACAGCTTAAAGGGGTACTGCTCAGTATTTTGTAGTTTGCCCCTCAATTGGGATTTGACTGATGTTTTAATCATAATTAGACTGAGGTTATGGGGTTTTAGGAAGACTACAGTGATTCAGTGTCCTTTTCATCACCCCAAATCTATGGTCTTTTTAGTGATCAGAAGGAATAAGGAGAGTTCATAGGCTAAAGTATTTTGGAAATTGTAGGACTGTGTAGAGGTGGTGTTCTGGAAATTTATGGGGCCAATATTGATTGACATCATGTTTGAGGTCAATAATATGGCATCAAATGGGCAAGTGTCAGGCATTCTAGATGCTGTGCAATGTGTAGGATTCTTCTATACAAAAATGAAATGCTACATTTTACATAAATGTGAATTCCCACCAGATGGTCCTATAAAAATATATATACATACACATACATATTAATAAATTTCAGAGGCAATAACATAACTCTGTTGTATAAGTAAACACAAATATTTTTATGAATTTAATTTATATTAAAATTTCTAGGACTACAACAATCATGAATGTTAAGGTAAAGATATTCATTATTTTTAAGGGCATAATCAAGATTTTATTAATCAATTTGGAAAATAATGTCACTGAATGTAGCATCACTCATATTTGAATTTTCAATACAACAAACCTATAATAGTAGATACTATATCTTTTATGTGATTCTTTGTATGAAAATAAATGCGTTTATTTGGTGTTTATTTTTAAAATGTCAAAGAAAAAGTGATAATATTCAGTGTTAAATATTTTGTTACATTTCTTAAATCTGAACTCATTCTTTCTAAGTTGTTGCAAACACCTGGATCCTTAGTGTAGATATTCTAAGCATTTTTCTTACTGGATTATACTTTATTTTATTATAAGTTACTTTATTTTTATTTTATTAGAATAAAGGCACTACATTGATTTTTTCAAAGTCATGTATATGGGTTGCTTATAGTTTTTATCAATATCAGGATCATAAAAGCATAGTAAATGTTAAAATACAGTGGCAATGGCATAGAATGCACCTTCCACAGAGTGATCCTAGCAGACAGAGGGCTAACAAAGGCAGCAAAAGACTCAAGACTATTTTGTTTATTCCACATTTATTTTATGACTCTTTTAAGTGAGATATTAGAGATAGAGGAGAAAGGTGCCATCCTTCATTACACAGAACTTAGAGTTTAATATAATTCTAATTACACAGAACTTAGAGTTTAATATAAATAATCATGTCTATGTGGATAAATGTCACTCATTCATTCAATCATTCTCTTAATGCCCTTCAACCAATGCCACTAGGAACGCAGAAATATTGAACAATGGGGACTGGTGAGGTATCACAAAAGAAATTGTTAACAGGACTTAGAATAGTAATCAGGCTTGTGTTAGGTGATTTTGATGAGGACTCAGTGAAATAGAGCTTGACTCTGGATGGGATGCTGTCACAATATGGGTTATTCTATGCTGAGTATCTTAAAAATGTTTACCTAGAAAGTGAGAAGAACACAGAGAAGTTAAAGCTGTGATTGTAAAAGAAACACTAATCACTCATATTAGCCAGGATGGAGGATATTTGGCCACTGTTGTGGTTTAAGCGATGTTATGTTTTTGTTTTGATTCTTCACAGTCACTGAGTGCCCTTGTCTGATATTGGTGTTCTGTGGAATCATATCCATTGGAATACAACAAAGCCAATGTATGAGTTCCAGGCCTACCCTGGGCCATCATGGGCTACTTTTCTCTTTCTCATGTCATTTATTCAACTTGCATATAATTTTTTTTTTTATTTCACAAGTAATACAAAGTATTTTAGAAAATTTGAATAATACAAAAATGTTGAAGGATGAAAAAAATCACTCATAATCCATCCATCGAATATCAAATATGTTTATGGTTCTAAAGTCACAAGTATATATTTGGTAGCCCCAGCTCTCAAAAAAGAATTTAGGTTCATTGTTACAGTCCGTAAATTAGAATTACATATTTGAGGATGGCCCAAATAAAGACATTTTCAGGGTGGTGAGAACATTTAGTAAAGGTGCCACAGAGAAGAAGCTGTATTTAGCCAGGTGTTGACAGATGCATAATTTCTGCCAGTTTTAGACTGAGACCATTATGAGCACACGTGGCCACTGGGAAAGTCATATTATGTAAGGAACACTATGAGCTCTGTGGTGAGTTAACTCCTTTTGATTCTCTCTTGACCAGAGGCCACTATGGAAGTATTTCCTACAAAGGAAGCTGAAGATCACATAGGTGCTTGGCTGAGTAGTTTGTAGAATGGGATTAAAAACATATAGGCTAGCATGTGTTTTGAGAACAAAATAAATGCATGCCAAAAGAGCCTAGTACTGAGACTGGCAAATGCTTGCTGCATGGTCAATGGTCCTGCCCCATGGGTTTCCCATGCTCCTCCCAGTGACAATGCTAATCCCGTGGGAAGCAAGCATTGCTGAATTAGAGGACACTTCCTTAATGGAAGAAAAACTGTTCTTAAGGAGATAGAAATCATTCAGTCTTTGTAGTAATTTCACTTGATTTTGAAGGATAAAAACAATTCAGAGATTGTGTTTCAGTGCTAAGAGTATTCTCTGCTTTCCAAATCAGTCTTTCAAAACTTCTTTTTCCAGGTTACCATTAAATACAGAATTTAAAATATTCTGTCAGCAAAACATTATTAAGTGCTAAAAAGTGCCAGCAAAGACATGGCAAGTTCTCAAAAGGTCTAAAATGGGATGGATTCTAATCTTTCTTGGATAATTTAAGAGGCATCTTGTGTGATGATAAGGAAATGAAGTAGATGACCCCTCGATGTCCTTTCTAGACTAGAAATTATATGACAATGTATTCTAATAAATTTTCATAGTTAATGAAATAAGAGAGGGCTTCTTTTTAAACTCTACATTTTTAAAATTATTTTTTCTCTGTAAAGTTAAGGCTAGTTTAAAGTTAAATTGGGTGTGAAATTGTTTCTAAGGTATTTTAAGCAAGAGGTTGCGTATAATTTTTTTCACAATAATAGCATTTTAGAAAATTTGAAAAATACAAAAATGTTGAAGGATCAAAAAGAATCACTCATAACATACTCATATATGTTTATGTTTAATAACTTGGCACGTATTTATATATTATGTTCAGTAGACGAAATCACCACGAGCGATATTTTATTCTTAGCCCTTCCTAAGTTCAACTCACCCTCTAAACTCCCTACCTGAATTCCCACGCTTTAAGTTATCACTCTTGCTTTTCCTTCTCATCACGTCTGCTCTCACCTGCCATCACAAATAAGTAATGTCTCTTAGGTCATTTTATAATTCCGTCTACCATATCTACATGGAAAAACAGTGTAGAGTTGAAGATAGAAAGCATCACTTTATTTTTTATTTATCAAACGACTTTCCCTCTTCCTCTCTTCTCCCTCAGAGATTCATTTACCATTAAATGTGGTCTGTTGAAAACTGTCCACAGAGATTTTCAAGAAATATAATGGTAAAAATAATTCAGGGAAACCACTCAGCTGTCTAATACAGAGACATCAGGGTGGTAGATGGCCCTCTAGACGTAATGGTCACAAAGAAAAGAGGGAAGTCTTCGTTACATAATTCAGTGCAAAATAATGCACTCTGCTGTATTATTTTAGTGACAGCACAAAATTTGAACTGAAGGAGTTAATTTTGGTACAAACCTTTCAAAATACATATTACTTGTATTTCTTTCAATAAATAAATCAGAGACAGTGTTGAAAGCCACACAGATTCTAATATTAGGCAGGGTAGGTCCAATATGTGTCTGTAATGATCACAATAATTAAGATATAAAAATGTATAATAATATCTCTATTAAGAGTTTATCTTTTGGTTACTAAAAAAAAAAAAATGTGTTTAAAAGGAGGCACCTCACCACACCTCCCGAATGGGTTCAGATGGGATTCTAGGGAGTAGCCATGGGCTCTGGGGTGATATAGGTTTTCTGCCAATTGATCCACTCTCTTTCATTCCTTTTTTCCCTATTACTCAGCATATTTGGGGTGGAGGGTCATCATTAAATGTGTTAGGTGATTCTAAGTGCTTTCGATGGTGAAGATTTACCAGGCAACACCTCATTTAATCTACATTATGAACTCAAGGTAAGTACTACCAGTATATAGATTTTGTGGCTGAGTAAACAGATTCTGACAGATTCAGTCACTTTTATACATCACACTGATTGTGAATGTCCCGAGTCTATCATCAGAGCTGTCATATTTAATGCTTGCACAGAGACCTAACCTGTTTTTCTTAGTATTATTTTATTCTGGAAATAATATCTATCACTAGCATATTTCACTTATATGTGTGTGTGTGTGTGTGTGTGTGTGTGTGTGTGTGTGTGTGTGTATGAAATATAATGTTTTAACTTTTGAGGGTTGATATGGTTTGCCTCTGTGTCCCCAACTAAATCTCATGTCGAATTGTAATTCCCAAATAGGGGGAGAGACCTGGTGGGAGATGATTGGATCATGGAGGCAAACTTCCCCCTGCTGTTCTTGCGATAGTGAGTTAAGAGTGTGTAGCATATCCCCCTTCACTCATTCTCTCCTGCTCCGCCATATGGATATTGTGCCTGCTTCCCCTGAACCTTTCACCATGATTTTAAGTTTTCTGAGGCCTCCCCAGCCATACCTCCTGTATAGCCCACAGAACTGTAAGTCAATTAAACCTCTTTTCTCCATAAATTACCCAGTCTCAGATATGTCTGTATGGCAGTGTGAGAATAGCCTAATACAGAAAATTAAAACAAGAGAAGTGGGGTGTTGCAATAAAGATACATGAAAATGTGTAAGCAACTATGGAACTGGGTAACAGGAAGATGTTGGAACAGTCGGGAGGTATGAGAAGAAGGCAGGAAGATGAGGGAAAGTTTGGAACTTCCTAAAGACTTGTTGCATGGTTGTAACCAACAAGCTGATAGTGGTATGGACAGTAAAGTCCAGACTCAGGTGGTCTCAGATGGAGATGAGGAACTTATTATGAACTAGAGTAAAGGTCACTTTCGCTATGCTTTAGCAAAGAGACTGACGGCATTATGCCCCTGATCTAGAGATCTGTGGGACTTTGGAGAAAGAAGATTTAGAATATCTGGCAGAATAAATTTTTAAGAAGCAAAGTGTTCAAGAAGTGACCTGGCTGCTTCTAAAAGTCAACACTCATTTGCATAAACAAATTACCTGAAAGAAGAACCTCTATTTAAAAGGGAAGCAGAGCATAAAAGCTCAGCAAATATGCAACCCAGAAATGTGGGAGAAACAAACAAACAAACAGAAATGTTCTGGGGAAGAATTCAAAGCTTCAGAAATTTGCATAAGCAAAGAAGATCTGAAGGTTAATAGCCAAGACAATGGGAAAAATGCCTCCAGGGAATTTCAAAGACCTTTGCAGCAGCCTTCCATTGCAGGCCTGGAGGCCTAGATGGAAAAAATGGTTTTGTGGGCCAGGTCCAGGCCCCTGCTGCTCTGTCTAGCCTCAGGACATGGCACCCTGCATCCCAGCTGCTCCAGATCCAGCTGTGGCTAAATGGGGCCAAGATACAGCTTGAGTCATTGCCTCAAAGGGTACAAGCCTCATGCCTTTGTGGCTTCCATGTGGTGTTGGACCTGCAGGTGGGCAGAAGATGAGTTGAGCTTTGGGAACCTATACTGAGATTTCAGAGGATGTATGGAAACACCTGGGTTTCCAGGCAGAAATTTGCTGCAGGGGTGGAGCCCTCATGGAGAACCTCTGGTAAGGCAGTGTTGAGGGGAAATGTAGGATTGGAGTCCCCACACAGAGTCCACCACTGGGCCACTGCCTAATGGCACTATGAGAAGAGGGCCACTGTCCTCTAGGATGCAGTATGGTAGATCCAGTGATAGTTTGCACCGTATACCTGGAAAAGCAGCAGACACTCAACACCAGCCAGGGAAAGCAGCTGTGGGGGCTATAATCTGCAGAGTCACAGAAGCAGAGCTGCTCAAGGCCTTAGAAGCCCACTCCTTGCATCAGTGTGGCTTGGATGTGAGACAGGGGGTCAAAAGAGATTGTTTTGGAGCCTTAAGATTTAATAACTGCCCTGCTAGGTTTTGGACTTGCATGATGTATTAGTCTGTTTTCATGCTGCTGATAAAAACATATCTGAGACTGGGAAGAAAAAAAGGTTTAATAGGACTTACAGTTCCACATGGCTGGGGAGGCCTCAGAATCATGGTAGGAGGTGAAAGGCTCTCCTTACATGGTGGCGACAAGAGAAAAATAAGGAAGATGCAAAAGCAGAAACCCGTGATAAAACCATCAGGTCTCATGAGACTTATTCACTACCTCAAGAACAGTATTGGGGAAAGCATCCCTATGTTCAAATGATCTCCCACCAGGTCCCTCCCACAACACATAGGAGTTACAGGAGTACACTTCAAGATGAGATGTGGGTGGGGATACAGAGCCAAAGCATATCATTCTGCCCTTGGCCCCTCCAAATCTCATGTCCTCACATTTCAAATCCAATCATGCCTTCCCAACAGTCCCCCAAAGTCTTAACTCATTTCAGCACTAACCCCAAGTCCTCAGTCCAAAGTCTCATCTGAGACAAGGCAAGTCCCTTCTGCCTATGAGCCTGTAAAATCAAAAGCAAGCTAGTTACTTCCTAGATACAACAGGGATACAGGCATTGGGTAAATACAGCCATTCCAAATGGGAGAAATTGGCCGAAACAAAGGGCTTACAGGGTCCATGCAAGTCCTAAATCCAGCAGGGCAGTCAAATTCTAAAGCTCTAAAATGATCTTTGACTCCCTGTCTCACATCCAGGTCATGTTGATGCAAGAGGTAGGTTCTAATAGTCTTGGGAAGCGCCGCCCCTGTGGCTTTGCAGGGGTATAGCCCTGCTCCTGGCTGCTTTCACAGGCTGCCATTGAGTGTTCTGAGGTTTTCCAGGTGCACGGTGCAAGCTGTCTGTGGATTTACCATTCTGGGTCTGGAGGACAGTGGCACTCTTCTCACAGCTTCACTAGGCAGTGCCCCAGAAGGGACTGTCTGG
This sequence comes from Homo sapiens, assembly GCF_000001405.40. Lineage (NCBI taxonomy): Eukaryota > Metazoa > Chordata > Mammalia > Primates > Hominidae > Homo > Homo sapiens. The sequence continues at coordinate 116,124,202 of NC_000002.12, read as the reverse complement.
GGGCACCCACCTCACATTTCCATTATGCACTGCCCTAGCAGAGGTTCTCCATGAGGGCCCCACCCCTGGAGGAAACATTTACCTGGGTATCCAGGTGTTTCCATACATCTTCTGCAATCTAGGTGGAGGTTCCCAAACGTCAATTCTTGACTTCTGCATACCGGCAGGCTCGACACCATATGGAAGCTGCCAAGGTTTGGGATTGCACCCTCTGAAACCATGGGCCAAGCTGTACCTTGGCCCCTTTTAGCTATGGCTGGAGCAGCTGGGACACAGGGCACCAAGTCCCTAGACTGCACTCAGTACAGGGACCCTGGGTCCAGTCCACAAAACCATTTTTTTCCTCCTAGGCTTCCATGTCTGTGATGTGAGGGGCTGCCATGAAGACCTATGACATGCCCTGGAGACATTTTCTCCATTGCCTTGGAGATTAACATTCAGTTCCTTGTTACTTATGCAAATTTCTGCAGCCAGCTTCAATTTCTCCTCAAAAAAATAAGTTTTTCCTTTCTACTGCACTGTCAGGCTGCAAATTCTCTGAATTTGTGTGCTCTGATTCCAGTTTAGAACTGAATGCTTTTATCAGCACCCGAGTCACCTTTTGAATGCTTTGCTGCTTAGAAACTTCTTCCACCAGAGATCTACCAAGCAAATGGAAAACAAAAAAAGCAGGGGTTGCAATCCTAGTCTCTGATAAAACAGACTTTAAACCAACAAAGATCAAAAGAGACAAAGAAGGCCATTACATAATGGTAAAGGGAATAATTCAACAAGAAGAGCTAACTATCCTAAATATATATGCACCCAATACAGGAGCACCCAGATTCATAAAGCAAGTCCTGAGTGACCTACAAAGAGACTTAGACACCCACACAATAATAATGGGGACTTTAACACCCCACTGTCAACATTAGACAGATCAACGAGACAGAAAGTTAATAAGGATTCCCAGGAATTGAACTCAGCTCTGCATCAAGCAGACCTAATAGACATCTACAGAACCGTCCACCCCAAATCAACAGAATATACATTTTTTTCAGCACCACACCACACCTATTCCAAAATTGACCACATAGTTGGAAGTAAAGCTCTCCTCAGGAAATGTAAAAGAACAGAAATTATAACAAACTGTCTCTCAGACCACAGTGCAATCAAACTAGAACTCAGGATTAAGAAACTCACTCAAAACCGCACAACTACATGGAAACTGAACAACCTGCTCCTGAATGACTACTAGGTACATAACAAAATGAAGGCAGAAATAAAGATGTTCTTTGAAACCAATGAGAACAAAGACACAACATACCAGAATCTCTGGGACGCATTCAAAGCAGTGTGTAGAGGGAAATTTATAGCACTAAATGCCCACAAGAGAAAGCAGGAAAGATCCAAAATTGACACCCTAACATCACAATTAAAAGAACTAGAAAAGCAAGAGCAAACACATTCAAAAGCTAGCAGAAGGCAAGAAATAACTAAAATCAGAGCAGAACTGAAGGAAATAGAGACACACAAAACCCTTCAAAAAATCAATGAATCCAGGAGCTGGTTTTTTGAAAGGATCAACAAAATTGATAGACCGCTAGCAAGACTAATAAAGAAAAGAGAGAAGAATCAAATAGACGCAATAAAAAATGATAAAGGGGATACCACCACTGATTCCACAGAAATACAAACTACCATCAGAGAATACTACAAACAACTCTACACAAATAAACTAGAAAATTTAGAAGAAATAGATAAATTCCTCGACACATACACCCTCCCAACACTAAACCAGGAAGAAGTTGAATCTCTGAATAGACCAATAACAGGCTCTGAAATTGTGGCAGTAATCAATAGTTTACCAACCAAAAAGAGTCCGGGACCAGATGGATTCACAGCCGAATTCTACCAGAGGTACAAGCAGGAACTGGTACCATTCCTTCTGAAACTATTCCAATCAATAGAAAAAGAGGGAATCCTCCTTAACTCATTTTATGAGGCCAGCATCATTCTGATACCAAAGCCGGGCAGAGACACAACCAAAAAAGAGAATTTTAGACCAATATCCTTGATGAACATTGATGCAAAAATCCTCAATAAAATACTGGCAAACCGAATCCAGCAGCACATCAAAAAGCTTATCCACCATGATCAAGTGGGCTTCATCCCTGGGATGCAAGGCTGGTTCAATATACGCAAATCAATAAATGTAATCCAGCATATAAACAGAACCAAAGACAAAAACCACATGATTATCTCAATAGATGCAGAAAAGGCCTTTGACAAAATTCAACAACCCTTCATGCTAAAAACTCTCAACAAATTAGGTATTGATGGGACGTATCTCAAAATAATAAGAGCTATCTAGGACAAACCCACAGCCAATATCATACTGAATGGGCAAAAACTGGAAGCATTCCCTTTGAAAACTGGCACAAGTCAGGGATGCCCTCTCTCACCACTCCTCTTCAACATAGTGTTGGAAGTTCTGGCCAGGGCAATTAGGCAGGAGAAGGAAATAAAGGGTATTCAATTAGGAAAAGAGAAAGTGAAATTGTCCCTGTTTGCAGATGACATGATTGTGTATCTAGAAAACCCCATCGTCTCAGCCCAAAATCTCCTTAAGCTGATAAGCAACTTCAGCAAAGTCTCAGGATACAAAATCAATATACAAAAATCACAAGCATTCTTATACACCAATAACAGACAAGCAGAGAGCCAAATCATGAGTGAACTCCCATTCACAATTGCTTCAAAGAGAATAAAATACCTAGGAATCCAACTTACAAGGGACGTGAAGGACCTCTTCAAGGAGAACTACAAACCACTGCTCAATGAAATACAAGAGGATACAAAGAAATGGAAGAACATTCCATGCTCATGGGTAGGAAGAATCAATATCATGAAAATGGCCATACTGCCCAAGATAATTTATAGATTCAATGCCATCCCCATCAAGCTACCAATGACTTTCTTGACAGAATCGGAAAAAACTACTTTAAAGTTCATATGGAACCAAAAAAGAGCTCGCATCGCCAAGTCAATCCTAAGCCAAAAGAACAAAGCTGGAGACATCACGCTACCTGACTTCAAACTATACTACAAGGCTACAGTAACCAAAACAGCATGGTACTATTACCAAAACAGAGATATAGATCAGTGGAACAGAACAGAGCCCTCAGAAATAACGCCGCATATCTACAACTATCTGATCTTTGACAAACCTGACAAAAATAAGCAATGGGGAAAGGATTCCCTATTTAATAAATGATGCTGGGAAAACTGGCTAGCCATATGTAGAAAGCTGAAACTGGATCCCTTCCTTACCCCTTATACAAAAATTAATTCAAGATGGATTAAAGACTTAAACGTTAGACCTAAAACCGTAAAAACCCTAGAAGAAAACCTAGGCATTACCATTCAGGACATAGGCATGGGCAAGGACTTCATGTCTAAAACACCAAAAGCAATGGCAACAAAAGCCAAAATTGACAAATGGGATCCAATTAAACTAAAGAGCTTCTGCACAGCAAAAGAAACTACCATCAGAGTGAACAGGCAACCTACAACATGGGAGAAAATTTTTGCAACCTACTCATCTGACAAAGGGCTAATATCCAGAATCTACAATGAACTCAAACAAATTTACAAGAAAAAACAAACAACCCCATCAAAAAGTGGGCGAAGGATATGAACAGACACTTCTCAAAAGAAGACATTTATGCAGCCAAAAAACACATGAAAAAACGCTCACCATCACTGGCCATCAGAGAAATGCAAATCAAAACCACAATGAGATATCATCTCACACCAGTTAGAATGGCGATCATTAAAAAGTCAGGAAACAACAGGTGCTGGAGAGGATGTGGAGAAATAGGAACACTTTTACACTGTTGGTGGGACTGTAAACTAGTTCAACCATTGTGGAAGTCAGTGTGGCAATTCCTAAGGGATCTAGAACTAGAAATACCATTTGACCCAGCCATCCCATTACTGGGTATATACCCAAAGGACTATAAATCATGCTGCTATAAAGACACAGGCACATGTATGTTTATTGCGGCACTATTCACAATAGCAAAGACTTGGAACCAACCCAAATGTCCAACAATGATAGACTGGATTAAGAAAATGTGGCACATATACACCATGGAATACTATGCAGTCATAAAAAAGGATGAGTTCATGTCCTTTGTAGGGACGTGGATGAAATTGGAAATCATCATTCTCAGTAAACTATCGCAAGGACAAAAAACCAAACACCACATATTCTCACTCATAGGTGGGAATTGAACAATGAGAACACATGGACACAGGAAGGGGAACATCACACTCTGGGGACTGTTGTCGGGTGGGGGAGGGGGGAGGGATAGCATTAGGAGATATACCTAATGCTAAATGACGAGTTAATGGGTGCAGCACACCAGCATGGCACATGTATACATATGTAACTAACCTGCACATTGTGCACATGTACCCTAAAAGTTAAAGTATGATAATAATAAAAGAAAAGAAAAAAAAAAGAAACTTCTTCCACCAGATGCCCTAAATCATCTCTCTCAAGTTTAAAGGTCCACAAATCTCTAGGGCAGGGGCAAAATGCCACCAGTCTCTTTGCTAAAACATAACAAGAGTCCCCTTTGCTCCAGTTCCTAACAAGTTCCTCATCTCCATCTGAGACCACGTCAGCCTGGACCTTATTTTTGACATCACTATCAGCATTTTTGTCAAAGCCATTCAGCAAGTCTCTAGGAGGTTCCAAATTATCCTACATTTTTCTGCCTTCTTCTGAGCCCTCCCAACTTTTCCAACCTCTGCCTGATACCCAGTTCCAAAGTCGCTTCTGCATTTTCAGGTATCATTTCAGCAATGCCTCACTCTACTGGTACCAATTTCCTGTTTTAGTCTGTTTTCACACTGCTGATAAAGACATACCCGACACTGGGAAGAAAAAGTGGTTTAATTGGACTTACAGTTCTGCATGGCTGGGGAGGCCTCAGAATCATGGCAGGAGGGGAAAGGTACTTCCTACACGGTGGCAGCAAGAGAAAAATGAGGAAGATGCAAAAGCGGAAACCCGTGATAAAACCGTCAGCTCTTGTGAGACTTATTCACTATCACTTGAACAGTATGGGGGAAAGCATGCTCATGATTCAAATTATCTCCCACTGTGTCTCTCCCACATGGGAATTACAGGAGTACAATTCAAGATGAGATTTTGGTGGGGACACAGAGCCAAACCGTATCACATGGGGTCTGTAGCCCCTTTGTTTTGGTCACTTTTTCCCTTTTGTAATGGACACACTTACCCAATGCCTGTACCCTCATTGTATCTTGGAAGTAATTAACATGTTTTTGATTTTACAGGCTCATGTGTAGAGGGGACTTGGCTTGTCTCAGATGAGATTTGGAATTTGGACACTTGAGTTAGTGTTGAAATTAGTTAACACTTTGGGGGACCGTTGGGAAGGCATGATTGTGATTTGAAATGTGAGAAGGACATGAGAGTTCAGAGGGTCCATGAGTGGAATGATATGGTTTGGCTCTGTATCCTCACCCAAATCTCATGTAAAATGGTAAATCCCAATGTTGGGGGAAGGACCTTGTAGGAAGTGATTGAATCATGTGGGCTAATTTCCTCCTTGCTGTTCTTATGATTGTGAGTGAGTTCTCACGAGGTCTAGTTGTGTAAAAATGTGTAGCACTTCACCCTTCACTCTTTGTCCCTCCCCAGCTCTGCCATGTGAAGACATGCTTGCTTTCCCTTTGCCTTCTGCCCTGATTGTAAGTTTCATGAGGCCTCCCCAGCCATGCCTCCTGTGCAGCCCACAGAACCGTGAGTCCACGAAACCTCATTTCTCCATAAATTACCCACTCTCAGGTATGTTACAGCAGTGTGAGAAACAGACTAATACAAGGGTGGTCACTATATTCATTATGTTGGTTGTGGTGGTAGCTTTAGATGTATATTTGAAATGTATTATATTTCAATTATGCCTCAATCATGTTGTTAAAAATAAACTATATTTTCTTATATTAACAGTGAGAATGGAATAAAATTAAATTTAAAAAAAGAGTGAGAGACAATATCTTGAAGGGGAAATACGAAGAATCTCAACCAGATTGAAATGAATAAATTAATGGAAACTTTTCTTGGAGCCAGAAGGTGCTGATGCAGCACAAAGACCAATTCTGATAAGTAGAAAGATTCAATTAAGATGTTACTATCATTAGTAGTAGTAGCAGAAGTGGAAGAGTCATATGAGAACCTGGATATGGAAGAGAAAAAAGAAAGAAAATAGCTACTTATCTTTTTTTAATAAGTAAATAAATTTAATAAGTAAATACATACTTACTTATTTTAGACATCATTTCATACCCTTTGAGGAAGATGGATGAATAGGGAGGGTAGATAGAAATATTAACTCTTATCCATGCAACAAAAATATGTTAATATTCAGTCTTTGCACTAGATGCTAGGAAAAAAAGACATACAAACACAATTTTTGCTGTTATGGAGCTCCTTTGTAGAGGTAATACAGTGTACTAAAGAATGCAAAGGAAGGATACCTATCCAGTTCATGATAGAGTTGAGTTGGAGGGTGGGAGAATTTCCTAAAGGAGATGTCTTCTTGATAATTTGGCAAAGAGTGGTTTGATTAAAAAGATGAGAAGGTGTGTTCCTATAAAGCATTGCTATAAAGAGAACAGTGTGTGCTAAGACGTGTATTTGACAGGGCAGCAAGTCTGGGGAACTTCAAGCATTTCAGTGTGACTTCTACATGAGCAGGATGAGATAATCAGGGAACAATCAGTAGGGACAAACACGGTCATAAGTGATCAGAAAGAATTCTGTTATCTATCTAATTTTAAGTCACTTAGATTTTATAATGAGACAGTGTACAAAACTTAAGACTAGACTCAGCTTGCATAATCCACTTCAGTAACTTCTACATAATGTTTTTCTATATCTTCATAGTCTTTAAAATTTTTGTAATAAACTGTGCAACTAAAATCTATTTTTAAAAGAGTTACAACAGAGAAAAACTAGTTTAAAGACAGAAGGTGCAAACAACCTCCTTCTGTGTGAGTTCTAGAATCTTGTTTCCACATTTAAGAACAGCTGAAAGTGTGTACTATTCTGGTTGTCTACTGTATTGACATTTTCTTCTTATTAGAATAGCAGTGACTAAAATTTATCAGCATCTTAAAATCATGAAATCATGAAACACCAGATCCAGATTTTTTTAAAAAGTCTGAAATCATCTAATCCCATTAAAGTTATAGAAAATAAAAGACAAGATCAGAGAGAGAAGTGAACTCTCCCACCGTCAGTAGTTGAGAAAGCAAGGTCTACAATCAACAACAGCTACATTATAGTCCTGATTTCTTTAATGTTCACCAGGCTCCTTAATACTTTACTTTTTCAACATCCATTACTGTGAGTGAATGGAAAAATTTTATTGATGGTCATTTGAAAATTATCTTCTGGGATTTTCAACAAATGAAATAATATGAAGCTGTTTTAAAAGCTCAATGCAAGACTATTTGACAAAAATATATGGTAGCTTTCCAAAGTTCCTTGTCACAAGGTTACAACAAAATCTATAGTTGAAAATCTTTACAAATTTACAACAAATTGAAGAATTCATAAGATGCACACAGGCTTCTGATTCAGGGAGGTAGAATCATCCTCTTTTACTCTCAAAATTCGATTAAATAGTAAAGAAATGCAATAATAATAATAATCATAGTGCTTATCAGAAGTTTTGGGGACAGACATCAGGCCACATCAGTAGACTGATAATATTCACAGGCTTCTAAAAACAGAACTCATTTGAGATGTTATTGATGGACAACCCAGAGAACAGAAAACTACAGTTAAAAACATCTGCTGAAAAGTACAGCATTATGTAGTGGGAAAGTCACCGTCACCGCTCGAACTGAGCCTCAGAGTGTCTGAGGTGAGAGTTGGCAAGTATGAGCTGTCTTTTAGATGATATTAATTAGAGGAATATTTAGAGGAAAGTGTGACAGTTAATTCCTCCAAACCTCCCCTACCTCATTACAATCTAAAAATATAGTGACAGTAACAGTAGCATTCAGCTGTAAGAACAATCCTAAAAAACTACTCTAAAGAAGTTGGCTTATTCACTCATACGTATTAAGGGCCATTGAATGAGTTTGAGAAACTCAGAGCATGTTCTTTATTTAAGTATCGAGGCTTAGCTTTGCGTGTCTAGTTGCTGAGCACCCACTCAAACAAGAATAAATCTTGTAGTGACATGTCCTACCCATTTACATGGAAGTCAGAATCTACTCTCCAATTCTGGAAAAATAGAGAACTATTGTGTAAAGAGGTTTATATAACAAGAGGGTAAACTCATAGCAGCTCTGTTAACTACCAACCTAGTACATCATTGAAAAGAGTTAAGAATAAAAACCAACTGTACAAGAAAAAAACACTAACGAATAAAAGACTGTTAATCAGGATAGGGAAAATTATGCTGAATAAACAACTCTGATATTTCAAATGACAATAATGTCATCTTAAATCTGGCTTGTTATTATGGCAGAAGATAAAACGGCCCATGCACTAACAATTAAATGCTTTACCTAGAAGCAACACACGTTGCTTCCCATCAGATTACACAGACTAGTACTAACTTCATGGTCCTACTCACAAACAGGAATGGAAACACATCAAGTCTCAAACCTATTGATATATATTCATTAAAAGGCTTAATTAAATAAAAAATTCCTAGGAAGTGCCCAGATGGTAGAGGACTTGAATTATTTGGTGAGTATCAATATTGACTCTAGAAGAAATAAAAGCTTTAGAAGGCAAGAACATTTTTTTTAATTTAATTATTCTTTTCAGCAAGGTTAGTTATGATGTATACCTGAAACTAATTTCAGGTGCTATGAAAAAAGGAGTTGTTATTGAATAAAACAGATATTGTTTTGTTTTAGAAAGTTATCATTAAAAGTGTATAGATGTAAAAGCCATAAGAAATGAAAGGTAAATTTGAGCAAATCCTGCAAATAGCTTGTATGTGTATGTGTGCACACGTGTGTGCAAGAGAGGATGAATTATTCAAGAGCAAAAAGAACACCAGAAATTCCAAAATCCATCCAATGGATTTATTCACAGGAATAAAAAAAAATCAACAAGGGAAAGAATGAATGCATAAATAAAGGAATAAACTAGCTAATTAAATTATTATTGTTTTTAAAATTTCAAGCTGAAGAAAGCTGAAAATATTCATAATAAGAGGACCTATTAAGTACTGAGTAGGAAGAATAGTAAAAGACTCACATCTAGGGACACATTTATAGAATTTAAGAACATTAATGATAAAGAGAAGATCCTTTCAGAACTTTTTGTTGGTTGATTGGTTGTGAGGATTAAGCTCTGATTTTTTATCTTGCCCAAATTCCTATCTGAGAGGTCTGGGGGGTCGTGTCCTACAAGCCATAAATTCTCATCAGATGGGTTTTATTTGACCCTACATATTGGGACTTACTTTTCAATCTGACTCTGGCATAACATTATAAGACTAGGAAAAAAATATCTAACTGCATAATATATTACCTTGCCATACCTTAAAATTGCCCTGCAAAGTCTCTTGTGGGAAAAATCCACAGTCTACAAAGAATCACCTACCCCCTTTGTTCTTTGTTTTCCTCCCTTCCTTCCCAGATCCAGGAGATCATCAACTAAGAGCCAGGCACCCTCTTAAGTATGATAAAAAAAAACAATTTACAACCTGCTCTCTCTGAAGTCTGCTATCTAAGAGCTTCCTCTGCACAATAAAACTTGGTCTCCACAATCCTTTATCTTTAACCTGAACCTTCCTTTCTATCGATCCCAGGTCTTTAGACAAACTCAACCAATAGCTGACCAGAAAATGTTTAAATTTACCTATAGCCTGGAAGCCCCCACTTCGAGTTGTCCCACCTTTCTGAACCAAACCAATGTATTTCTTAGGTGTATTTGATCAATGTCTCATGCCTTCCTAAAATATATATAACCGAGCTGTGCCCCAACCACCTTGGGCACATGTTCTCAGGACCTCCGGAGGACTGTGTCATGGGCCATGGTCACTCGTACTTGGCCCAGAATAAATGTGTTCAAATATTTTACAGTTGACTCTTTTCATAAACAGTTGTTTTTATTTTTTATGTTCTCTACTAAAAGATACGAATTATGTCTATATTTTCTCAACTAAAACATGTTTGTCTATTTTCTACTAAAAGACATACATTTTATGTCTGAGCTTCACATCTGCACTTCTGGATATTAGAAGACAGTAGAGTATCATGTTCGAAGTTTAAAGAAATATGCTGTTGAATTTATTATTCCATACCCTTACAAACTATTAATCAACTGTAATAATTTGACCATTGCAAATCTGATTAATGCAAAAGTAAATATCATATAAATGCTTTGGAAATCTTGAATTTAAACAATCTATTAAGTGTGGAAGTATACCAATAAATAGAAAGACATCTGAGAAATAAGAAAGAATAGAATCAAATAAATAAGAACTAAATCATAAGTTCAGTATAAAGTAATCCAAGGGTGAGAAATGAGCTATAAGCCTAGAATGGATTAGCCCCATAAAAAATTTCTTCTAGAAGAGAGTGAATTCTAGGATACATATTCCATGAATGAGAAACTGGAACTTCTAAATATAATAAAGCTTTTATTTGTCCTCAAAAGAACCAGAAGAACAGCAATTTATAAAGTTCAAGAAAGTCCAGAAAAAGCTCTAAAAAAAACTATGCTCTACGTATAAAAGACAGCCACTATAAATAAAAACCTGTATTTTAGAATTCGTGACATTTGAAGTTTCTATCTCACTGTTTTTGTTAAAATGTGTCCTTCAACGGGTACATCTTATCTAAAGAAAAGCAATATTTAAACAAAGACAATCTTATCTAAGAATACAATAGTATCTAAATAACCACTATAAACACTACTTATCGGTTGTCCTTTTTACAAAAAAAAAAAAAAAACCAGTATATACAGAAACACAGAAGACTAAACAATTGTATGATAAGCAAAGGTCATACACTTTAACAGTTCATATTGTATTTTTATAATTTTACATCATAGAAATTTAAGAGAATTTGGCTAAACATAATGGAAATTGAGTTGTTATTTAAATGGTAGTTTGTAAAACAACAAAAATAATTTAACTGACTACACCTGGTATACAAAGGGCGTTTGAATAATTTAAAATAAAAATTACTGTTTTAATTCCATGGTAACAATTACTATGAAGAAGGGTTTGAGATTTTCTAAAGAAGATGTCAAGTAAAAATTTTATTTATATAGGCTTGATTTTTATTCCCCCTATTTTCCCAAAATATACTACCCTAACTAGGTGTATTTAGTACTCTGATGCTATTGTCTTTTTATTTGCTCACTGTTGAACTAATGATACATGTGGCTTTATACTAAGTACACATATCTCTATCGTCAAAATATTTTAGTCTAAGAAGATGAATGGCAAACTACCCATTTTCCTTAAAACAAATCGACACTATTTCAGTAGAAGAAGCTTAGCATTTGAAGGAATTTTGAAGATTGTATCTCCAGACACTATACCTACAGGTATGCAAAATGAAGCACAAAGACTCAGAGAGAAAACTCAGACCAAAGTCATTAACTCAGATCCCCTGTCTTCCATGCCAATGCTAGGCGGCTGCTAGAGGTCTCCACTTCTGTGACTAGAGTCCCCTAACCTAAGTCCTTGGCAGCTTCCTCTTCTTGACTCTTTGTATACAACATATATCACTAAGCTGTTTCAATTTTATTTTTGAAATATATCTCAAATCTACTCACTTCTCCCTTTTTTTTGTTTTCTGAGACGGAGTCTCGCTCTGTCGCCCAGGCTGGAGTGCAGTGGCGCCATCTTGGCTCACGCCATTCTCCTGCCTCAGCCTCCCGAGTAGCTGGGACTACATGTGCCCACCACCATGCCCAGCTAATTGTTTTGTATTTTTAGTAGAGACGGGGTTTCACTGTGTTAGCCAGGATGGTCTTGGTCTCCTGACCTTGTGATCCGCCCACCTCAGCCTCCCAAAGTGTTGGGATGACAGGCGTGAGCCACCGCACCCGGCCCTCCTTATCTTAATTACAACCAGGCTAGTCAGTTAGTCAACCATTATGTACAATGCTTCTACTAGCTTCCAGGTGCAGTTCCCCTTGCTGTACCATTAATTAAAGGAGAGAGGAAGAGTCCCCATATTCAACATGGTTACCTCACAATGGGAGTAACAAAGATGAAAAATAAAATGGACTAAATGAATCAGATAACACAGGGATAAACAATATGAAGACAACGAAATCACAATTCAGATCATCACACTGTTAGTAATTCTTAGGGGGTGTCATGGTTAGATGTCCCACGAGTGCCATGCATCTCTCTAACCAAATTCCTTACTCTTTGCCATCATAGTAGCTTGTTACTGCAATCACTCCCAAGTAGTAAAGAGGTGAAGATGTACAAAGATATCTGACATTATCTGGAAATTCCAGGTCTGGAATGGCACCATCAGGAGCTCTGCTGACTTACCTGTCAGGGAAATAACCATAACTAGGGAACTTCATAACAAAACAAAGCAACTTTTTAAAGTCTCTGGAAAATGTTCTTAGGGTACACAGCCGATGAAGAAACATTTATTCAAGAAAATCTGCTACATCTCAGTAAGAACTGTTTGAATCTGCAGCTCTTCAGTCATACCATGCTCTCTTTCTTCTTCTCACCCCTAGTTCAGCTTAACAAAAGTTCTACTCTAGGTGGGTTTTGCCAAGAAAACCATGATCCTTTTCCCGCATCTCCCAATTAAAGACTACACCCGAGCTCCTCCAGTCGGGAAGGATGCTAACATTTTTCTTCCAGCTCTGTGTTAGGAAGGCAAAATTCCAGGTGTCTCAACGTGATGTACAAAGGCTTTAACCTAGCTGTGGCAAAACATGTCTTCGAAAAGTGTTCACCACAGATAACTAGGAGTGAAATACATTTCTTTCCATCTTTCCCTTTTCATTGACTATAGTGACCATATCTATGTGATTTACTTTCATACTTTTTCATTTTAAGTGGAATAAGGGCGGTATTCAAATACTTGTTGAAAAAAGAATGATATAAAAACCCTTATATTTCCAGTTATATAAATCGTGTCCGTCAAAACTGGGTGGAGCTGTGTCTCCCAAGAGTCATTCGCTAAACCTTAGATATGTTCTTATATGGAAATAGGGTCAGTCATTAATCAAATATGACTGGTGTTATAAGAACAGGAGAAGGGATGTAAGACAGAAACACAGGTGGAAACAGAAATTGGAGTTATCCTGCCCAAAGCTAAGGTACACCAAGGAATGCAGCAACCACCGGAAGCTAGAAAAGAGGCACAGGGCAGATTCTCCCTCCGAGCCCCCAGGAAGAATTCAACCTTGCCAATGCCTTTATTCCAGACTTTTAGCCTAAACTGTGAGAAAATACATTTCTGTTGTTTTAAGCCTCCAATACTGTGGTACTTTGTTACAGAAGCCCGAGGAAACTATTACAGCATCTTCTTAGATTCAGCTCGAATGCCCTTTCATCCTTAAATCTTCCTTGATTCCAACCACAAATTGAGCACTTACAGAAGAAAAGTTATGTCTTATTTTTATTTGCACCCTCACTGACTAGCCAGAGAGGTACACAATAGGAGATTTTGTGCCTTCTTTTGAAAAGATAAGGTTTCTTCCTTCTGGAAGCAATCCTTTCCTCTTCTGAATGCTTACAGCACTTAACAAAGCAGGAAAAAACAGATTCAGGTTAAGGTGTCTGAACAAGATAGTGACTCCAATGAAAAGATGTAGAACAAAATTTGCAGTACATAACAACCAATAACTATAAATTAAGTTGATACAAATGCCCCAAATCAGAAAATTGTCAATATAGTGTTTTTCATGGTTCCTAGGAACTGGGGCAGGCTCCTCAGTATTTTTCCTGGAAACACTTATTTCGTCTCTCCAGGAACTCTTGAGACCCATAGTGAAATGAAGAGGATCTCTTGCTGAAAATGTGCTCCCCTCTCCCTTCAAGAGATAGGAGCTGTTGACAAGAAGGATGAGACTGAATTTCCTCCTATGCTGTTCTTAGAAGAAACCTAGCTTGGATTCCTTATCACCATTCTAACAACCGACATCTGGAAGTGAAAACAATAGGCACAAGTGTTGTCATTGGCTGTAGGGATGCCTCTGTTTTAGTAGCGGAGAATAGTGGTGTAAAATACCAGAGGAGAGCAGAAAGCTTGACATTTTATTTGCGTTTTCAGAAAACACCCTAGAGACTAAGGGAAAAAATAACCTCTCATTCCTAGTGTGCAATTTATAACAAAATACAATCATAGAAAATCTTATTTCTTCCCTTAGATTTTGTTTCATTTCATGGCTGTTGGCAAGCTTATTATGACAATATAGACCTAGAGAATGGCTGACATTCCTATGACAAACACAAACCTTAATGATACATTTTATGGTGTGTGATTTGAGATGCTCATCCTTGAGTGTGCATAATGCTCTGAATCATCATTGTTTTGGCATCAAGGTATGATTGATATTAGATGTTACATGTAGTATTTTGTCACCTCCAAGATGCAACTTTTAAAATTGAATTCTCTTGAACATTTACCAACTGCATGTTATTATCTCTGGAGGAATGAATATTTAGATAATTGGGAACTCTAAAACGTTGATGTAGGGATTTATGATTTGGATAAAATTGCCTTCTGCAACATGAATTTTTGAGCGACTGGAAAAATTCTTACATCCCACAAGTACTAAGAACTTATGAAGTATATCGAGATATATTCGGATTCATACTGAGCCTTTATTGAATTTTTCGTTTAACAGATTTGTGCCTTTGATCTTTGATCCCAAAAAGACTCAACTCAGCATACTACCCTATCACACTGAAATGTGTATTTTCGTGCTCAGTGAAATACAACTTTTCAAAACTGAACACTGTTTTACAAAATGTCTCATGTGAACTTAGAAGATTTTCATATAAGGAAACTTTAAAAATAATTTCTACATTTTAAAATTTATTGCTTAATATTTTTAGTGTCTACAATTGACAATATTTTTTGTGTCTACAATTGACAGATAAGTGTCTACAATTGACAGATTCCTATCTTAACCTACAACTATAGCCCAGGACACAGGTACCAGAAAAATAGTCGAGTTCAGCTTTGTAATTGTTACAATACAATCTTCATCACTTCACTTCAACAATAAGTGTGTCTCTATCAGGCATCTAGGATTCATTCACCTGATTATGTTTCATGATTCAGATAATATTGCTGAGTTCAAAATTGATCTAGGAACAAGCAAAAGAGGTAGGAAATCCATGTCATTATGGGAAAAATGCAATAATTTAGTCCTAGAAAGTCTTGTACAGATAGCCCTAAATAACGACAGTTGCAGAAAGATTTAGTTACAGATAGCTCCAGAAAGAAAAAAAAACAAGAACAACAACAACAAAAACCAGTGGAATAGAGGTATGAACAATCACTTTGATACTTTTCTATTTCCATCGGTGGTTTTTCTTATTTTCCTCTTTCTTCAAAACTCATCACTCTGTGTTCAACATGTTGCAAAATTTAGAGACTGAAGCATACTTATACATTACATTTGTGAGTAGTTCTTAGTCCTCTAAAGTTTAGCAGAGGGTCCTCTGAAGCTGCCATGTGCAGTGAGTTGAAGGAAAAAAGCTGGACTCCTGTCTCTTCCTCACACCTGCTTCCATCTTGCTTCAATCAGAGGAGTTCTGCTGTTATCTAATATTTTAAATGTTAGACTTCTGCATAGTATTCTTAACAAAAGGGGTATATTTTGAAAAAATTAAACTGTTTATTGATCTATTTCAATTCTCTTATTTTGAAAATGAGGAATATGAAAGTGCATAGAGATTAAGAACCTTCACAAGGTCACAACTAAGGAATTGAAAAGAAAATTAGGGGCCAGGAATGGTGGCTCACACCTGTAATCCCAGTAATTTGGGAGGCTGAGGCAGGCAGATGACTTGAGGCCAGGATTTGGAGATCAGCCTGGCCAACATGGTGAAACCCCGTCTCTACCAAAAATACAAAAAATAGCCGGGCATGGGGACACACAACTGTAATCCCAGCTACTCAGCTAAGGTAGGAGAATCGCTTGAACCTGGGAGGCAGAAGTTGCAGTGAGCTGAGATCGTGCCATTGCACTCCAGCCTGGGTGACAGAGTGAGACTTCGTCTCAAAAATAAAATTAGGAAGAAATTAAATTTAAATCTGAGTAAAAAGATTATTTTACATGGCCGTTTTAGACTTACGTTTTATTTTTCTTTGTCATTAATCTATATCATCAAAAGAAGGATATAAAATACCTGCTTTGAAACTCAATGCTTATAAGTACAATTACTTCTTTTTTTTTTTTTTTTTTTTGAGATGGAGTTTTGCTCTTGTCACCCAGGCTGGAATGCAGTGGTGCAATCTCAGCTCACTGCAACCTCCTTCTGCTGGGTTGAAGCGATTCTCCTGCCTCAACTCCCAAGTAGCTGGTATTACAGGTGCCCACCACCACGCCTGGCTAATTTTTGTATTTTTATTAGAGACAGGGTTTCACCATATTGGCCAGGCTTGTCTCGAACTCCTGACCTCAGGTGATCCACCCGCCTCAGGCTCCCAAAGTGTGGGCAACCGTACCTGGCCCATTGTTCCTTCTAATTTGTGGTTTTGCTTTCCATGGTTTCAGTTACCCTGAGGTCAACCACAGTCCAAAAATATTAAATGAACAATTCCAGAAATAAACAACTCATACATTGTGCATCATTCTGAGTAGTTGGATTCAATGTCATATTATTTCCTCATTTCACCTGGGACACAAGTCATCCCTTTGTAAAACATATCCAGGCTGTATTCTATATACCTGATAATCATTTTGTAGCTATCTGGGTTATCAGATTAACAGTCCTTTTATTGCAGTACTTGTGTTTGATTAACCCTTATTTGACTTAATAATGGCCCCAAAGCCCAAAAGTAGTGATCCTGGCATATTGTTATAATTGTTCCATTTTATTTGTTAATTTTTCAATCTCTTATTGTGCATAATTTATAAATTGAACTTTATCATAGGTATGTATACAGAGGAAAAATATAGCATATATTGGGTTCAGTACCATCAACAGTTTCAGGCATTCACTGGGGGTCTTGGAAAGTATCCTCCATGGATAAGGGTGGATTAGTGTACACATGTATAGACAAGACTGTTCAATGAGTCAGTTTAAGAAAGCCTAACCTAAAATAAGTACATTGCTATAATCAGCTATTTAGATATTATAAATGCCAAGGTTTTAGAAAACAAATTCAAAAAATACTTTCAAAATAAATCTTGCCAAAATGCCTATCAGTGGATGTTCTGACCATATTTACTACACAAGGAAAAAATATATTAATATATAAAGTTATCTTAAGACATTGTGTCTGATGCCTTACAGAATTCTGTTTATCAGTAATCAGAACCTACAGGGTAGTTAAATGTAGTTCCAGCTTACATTTTACCATACATTTCAAATGTGCAAGATTCCTACAGGTAATATATTTCCAGTTTGTTAGCATTTGCTGTAAATGCAATGCAAGTAAAAACATAAAAAGACAACATCACCATGCAGAAAACAAAATAAACTTCAGGAAAATATCTAGATCAAATAATCTCTTCATTGTTTTGCAAATGATGTCATTTAATAGGCCACAAATTTGCAAACCATTAAAATAAACTATAAACATTACCTGCTGTGAAGCACAGAATAACCTTAGCTTTACATAATAGAATGGGCATGGCCTTTATAGTCAGAGAGAATTAATTATAAATTCGAGCTCTGTCAGTACCTCTCTGAATCTCTTATTTCCTTTTATGTTTACTGGAGATAGTAATACGTTATTAAGGTCAGGTGATAAAAAAATGAGAAAATACACAAGGCCTTGCCACAAAATACTTTTCACAGACTGAAAATTTGTGTTCCCCCAATACTGATATGTTGAAACCCCACCTTTAATGTAATGGTATTGGGAGGTGGGGCTTTTGAGAGGTGATCAGGTCATAATGGTGAAGTTCTCATGAATGGGGTTAGTGCCCTTACAAAACAGTGTGCTTCTCTTGGCCATGTGAGGGCAGAAAAAGAAGATAGTCATCTACAAGCCAAGAAGCCAGCCAGACACCAGACTTGCTGGGACTTTGATCCTGGAGTTCGTAGCCTGCAGAGTTATGAGAAATAAATGTCTGTTGTTTATAAGCCACCCAGTTCATGGTATTTTGTTATTGCAGCCTGATCTGGCTAAAACAATACTATAAACCAACATTAGGTCCACTTACGTGCTAATAATAGTACCATAACTAGAATCAATAGTAGTAATAACAGTAATGGTAGAAGTTGTAAATTTCTAAAAGTAAAGAAGGCAGATAGAAACACTACATCATTGCTTCTCCTTTCCAGTATTCCATAAAAAGATAAAAATGGAAAGTATAAAATGGCGTTAACCCTTAACAGAGCATAGAAGAGAATGGTCCATGGACAAAAATTTCGACAATTATTGGAAGATGGAAAGGGTCAGAAGTACTATTGAAAGATTCAGCCCCAGCCTTGGGCATGCATCCTGAGGCAATAGTCACAGAGGATGCCCAGCTGCCAGCAGAGCTTCAGAGACACTTTACATTCAGAAATCTTAGCTACAGTGTGGGCCAGAGTGAGCATCCAAACTTAAATTGTAGGCGTAAATAAATACATATCCATGGGAGTAGTTCAATTCATGTAACCCACAAAGCTTTTGTGGTCACGAATCTAGGGCTAGACAAAATGTTCTCCTGTATTTAATGTCTGTGTAGAGGCCCTGCTGAGGAGAGCCCTCCCTAATCTGACATTAAGGGCTCCCCGCAGCACAGCCGCCAGCTCCACTCTGGAGCACAATGACACGGAGCCTCCCTGTCAATAGCCTGTCTACAAACTGTGAGCAAATTGGCCCTTCTGTTGCTCTAGACATAAATATAAATCCAAAATGAAGGATCCATAGAATTTTGAAGAAACCCTGCAACATGAAAAACGCTGATAATTAAACAAAAGAAAAGAAAAATAACTTTAAAAATAGGTGCAGGAAAATGTATACTTTTTATGTACAGACAAGAACAGGATATTATGAAACAGAAAAGTTATGAACCCTTATATTAAAATACCATTTTCAAAATAAAACAAATGATAAACTATACAGGAGAGTAAGGTAAAGAAATGTCTCAGTGGATATAACAAAAGATGACAAGAAAATGAAGAAAGAAATGAGAAACAAAGAGGACCCACCATACAGAAGTTTCAGAAAGAGAGACTTAGAAAAAAAATGATGGGGAAAAATTTATTCAATAATTAATTTATGAAAATTTATGATATCTGAAGGAATCCATGGTCAAATTAAAGGCAAGATGCATAAAAATAAAAAAGTTCTATGTATCAATTTTAAATTGCAGAATGCTAAGGATAAATGCCCTAAAATTCTCAAAAAAGAAAAACAGTCATTTATGAAGATATGAAAAATTGAATGAGCTCAGACTTTTTCTTAACAACAATGAATACAGAAAGACAATGAAAAGATACCTTCAGAATTGTGAGAGGAAAATGTTTTCAACCTAGAATAGGATGTACTGTCAAACTACAATAAAATGAGAAGATAGGATAAAGATAAATTCATCATGAAAATACAGTTACGAGAAAACAGTAACAAGACTGCATGAGGAGGACAAGGAAGGAGAAGAGCAGGCAACACGGTGATTTCAGAGGAAAGTCTTGGCTTCAGCCTGAACTTCTAAGACCTTGTCCTCATTAAAAGTGGGAGCTGGGCTCTTATAGTCCACTCCAGGTTTCAGCCTGTCTCTGAGAAAGGCCATACCAAAGAAAGAGGAGGAGGACGTGACGTTCCAGGCCTTGTTCCCCACTCTCTCTGGGAGGCGGCACAGGTCTTTAGAAACACAAGCATAGCAAATGGTGGGGAGGGTGACAAAGAAAAGAAAAACGGATATAAGAGATCTGAGTGGAGCACTCACAGTGTTTACAACAGAATGTTGGTCAAGGTCATTGAATCTGATAGTCCAGCCAGCCAGTCTGAGCCAGTTATAGCTGTAATAGCTCCTTCTCCCAACATCCTCAAACACATTTAATACACATCTACTTCCTGCCCTCGAACAATATTGTTCATTAAATTGTACATTCATTATTAAATGTTATCATAAAAGTATGCTTTGAAAAAGACATTGGGCCCAGGTAATTTGATTTTATCATGGTTTGGGAAGTGGGGTGGGATAATATTCCAAAAAACCTATGAGAAGTTGATGCTTGCATTGAAGCATGAATAAGTCTTGGTCAAGCAAATCAGGGAGAAAAGTTTTTTCTAAGAAATCACAGATGTGAGCCATATGCAGAGGAGGAGACATGACTGAGTTTGGCACATTTTGAGAACTGTTAGTATTTCATTGTGGAGGTAAGTGTCCATTCATCAACCACTTTTAATTGTCTCTGTTTGCAGATGGCATGATTGTATATTTAGAAAACCCCATTGTCTCAACCCAAAATCTCCTTAAGCTGATAAGCAACTTCAGCAAAGCCTCAGGATACAAAATCAATGTACAAAAAACACAAACATTCCTATATGCCAATAATAGATAAACAGAAAGCCAAATCATGAGTGAACTCCCATTCACAATTGCTGCAAAGAGAATAAAATACCTAGTAATACAATTTACAAGGGATGTGAGGGAACTCTTAAGGAGAACTACAAACTACTGCTCAAGGAAATCAGAGAGGACACAAACAAATGGAAAAACATTCCATGCTCGTGGATAAGAAGAATCAATATCGTGAAAATGGCCAAACTGCCCCAAGTAATTTAGATATTCAATGCTATCCCCATCAAGCTACCATTGACTTTCTTCATATAATTAGAAAAAACTACTCTAAATTTCATATGGAATGAAAAAAGAGCCCATATAGCCAAGATAATCCTAAGCAAAAAGAACAAAGCTGGAGGCATGACGCTACCTGACTTCAAATTATACGACAATGCTACAGTAACCAAAACAGCATGATACCGGTACCAAAACAGATATATAGATCAATGGAACAGAACAGAGGCCTCAGAAACAATGTCACGCATCTACAACCATCTGATCTTTGACAAACCTGACAAAAACAAGCAATGGGGAAAGGACTCCCGATTTAATAAATGGTGTTGGGAAAACTGGCTAGCCATATGCAGAAAACCGAAACTGGACCCCTTCCTTATACCTTACACAAAAATTAATTCAAGATGGATTAAAGACTTAAACATAAGACCTAAAATCATAAAAATTCTAGAAGAAAACCTAGGCAATACCATTCAGGATATAGGCATGGGCAAAGATTTCATGACTAAAACACTAAAAGCAATGGCAACAAAAGCCAAAATTGACAAATGGGACCTAAACTAAAGATCTTCTGCACAGCAAAATAAGCTATCATCAGAGTGAATAGGCAACCTACAGAATGGGAGAAAATTTTTGCAATCTATCAATCTCACAAAGGGCTAATATCCAGAATCTACAAAGAACTTAAACAAATTTACAAGAAAAAAACAACCCCATCAAAAAGTGGGTGAAGGATATGAACAGAAAATTTTCAAATAATACATTTATGTGGCCAAAAAACATATGAAAAAAAGCTCATCATCACTGGTCATTAGAGAAATGCAAACCAAAACCACAATGAGATACCAACTCCACACGTATGTTTATTGCAGCACTGTTCACAATAGCAAAGATTTGAAACCAACTCAAATGCCCATCAATGATAGACTGGATAAAGAAAATGTCACGCATATACACCATGGAATACTATGCAGCCATAAAAAGATGAGTTCATGTCCTTTGCTGGAACATAGATGAAGCTGGAAACCATCATTCTCAGCAAACTAACACAACAACAGAAAACCAATCACCACATGTTCTCACTCATAAGTGGGAGATGAACAATGAGAACACATGGACACAGGGAGGGGAACATCACACACCAGGGCCTGTCAGAGGATGGGGGGCTAGGGGAGGATTAGCATGAGGAGAAATACCTAATGTAGGTGATGGGTTGATGGGTGCAGCAAACCCACAAAATCTCTAATGCATTAATATTTCCAACTTATTTTTATTTTTTGATATATCTTTAAAAGCAATACAATTTTGTAGTAATAAATGCTTTCATTGATTAACTTTATACCCACAAGCATGTTGTCCTTTAAAAGCAAGCTCCATCTCTACCTCTTATAAAAACACACAGTGAATGTATGTGTTCACCATATATGTAAGGGTAGAGCAGAGATGAGAAAGCATACCTCAATCTAGCATTAGCATTCTTATTCACTTTTGGCATCTAATTATTATTAATGACTTTGTTGCTAATTCGAAAACTTTACTATCCTCACTACCTGAGTAGCATATCACATTGGGCAAATTATTTCACCTTTCAGAGACCTATATTTTCTAGCCATAAAGTAAGGATATTTATAGTCAACTCACAAGGTTATTATGTACATTGAAAAAAATGTTGTCAAACACACAATGCAAATAACCACATGCCTGGCTCATACTAGGTGTGAAAGTTCACTGCATCTTTCCTTTTCCAGATGTTGGCCCCTACTTGCCTACTGTAATTTCAGAAAACTATTAGTTCTTGATTGAGTTCTGTGTTCCAGAAACCCTGGTTATCTTATCAGGCCTTGGAGAAAAAGCTTGAGGTAGGTATCATAATTATTGTATTTTACACATTAGAAACTAAAGGAACAAAAAGATTAAGTATCTTTCTCAATGTCACTTGCTGGATAAGGAGATAAAACTCAGGATTTAACTTTGCTGGTTCTGACTTTTAGTCAGAAGTTTTTAACTTGAGTTCTTTCCACTAAAAAACATTTTTTTTTTTTTTTAGCATCTGAGGTAACCCAGAATCAACCATAATTAAAACTCATGCTTGAATGTAAAAAAATATTTTAAATGTTCTCAAGAAGTTATTTTAAAGGTTAGAGAAAAGAAAATAAGAGAACATGTTTGGGCATTGACACTGCCGCCCATTTTGCTTGGCATACCTGAACTTTTTGTATTCTTATTGGGTAGCTAGATTTTGTAAAGATGATAATCTGGACAACTGAAAAGAACATAATGCTTCCATGCTGATACAGACCGAGTCATCCTAAATTCTAAAAGATGTATGGAGTATTTTAGAGAATGTATTTTAGAGATTATATTTTAGATGTATTTTAGAGAAATGTTACATTTTTTTCCAAACTAAACAAAGGCATGAGGTATGTGACATTGCAACAGGAAGAACAGTTTCCTAAGAGTCAAAATTATCTTATTCTGAATCATTAACTCCCTCTGGAAAATTAAAAAATGTATATATTTTTAGTAGTATGGTGGTTGGCTCCTACAGAAAATGACAGTAAGATGGAATTAGGAGGGTGAAAGCTTATGTGGGATCACATCTGTGAAAGCAAATGGGATGGACAGGATTGGGCATGCTGTGTTGAGAGCCTGTGATGCAAACATAACAAAATCGTGTCGAGTCCAGCGGGGGCTAGGGCCAATATCACAGTAGTTCTGCAGTGAGCAGACATTGCTAGACTCTGTGTCATGGTCTTGCCCAGTCATTGACTAAGACCACCAGCAGGAGCACATGACCTCAGCTCAGAAGGTAAAGCACACCTAAAGTTAACAGCAGGAAGCTGCCAGTTGACTACACTCTTCATAGTTGGGAAAAGCAGGTCCTTACTTGAAGGAGCACTTGAGTTCTCTCTCTGTGTGTCTGTCTTATCCATCCCTGTGGCCTGCAGATTCACTTCATCCATATTCATTTGGGGAATAGCTACTCCTGGGAGGAAATTTAGGAAAAAAAAAGTAGTGGCTAAAATTGCATTCTCCTTTTAACTTCTCATTTCAGGGCTGCAACTGTACTTTGCCCATCTCTTTCCTCCTCTAACCATTCAAACTCCCATTTCCCTTAGGTATTACATCTACTTATATTGGTGGGTAGACTACCTTATGCTGTGTTCAGAACCCTCATTCTTGAGGGATCTGAGTTCTTGGTAAACCTATTCTTCTCAGCCTAGTTTCCTGCCCTTACTCTTTCATTGTTATTAGGTTGGAGCAAAAGAAATTGCGGTTTTTGCCATTACTTTAATGAATGCCATTAATTTTTATTTATGCCATTTATTTAATTTTTCCCATTAAAGTAATGGCAAAAACTGCAATTAGTTTGCACCAACCTAACACAATTGGTCAAAATAGTACCCAGAAGTACTCAGTGGATACCCTCTATTCCACACTTATTTCTACTGCCCCTATTACATAAGAACTGCTCTATCTTCTTTTACTAATCCTGTTCAGTGGTCTGATAAGATGATGCCTCCTTTTATGGCCTTCTGTTCCTTAGACATGGGTATCTAAAGTGCCAGGTGATGGCCATATCTTTTAGTTTAGTAGAATTGTTGTGTCTACTGGCAACAGTGTACCCCTTTTGGGTATCACGACCTCTAAACTTGAAAAGCCAGGAATTGTAGGAATGAGAAGCACACAACTTCCCAGTAAGTCATTAAAAATGCTAGTACATGAGCCACTCCTGATTCAACCTCTTGATTCCCTGTGTATCCCCTATGAAGATATATGTATTTTTCCTATTGGAGATACAATGCCATAGAGAGGTCTCTAATTCCTGGTGTACTAATTCCCAACTAGTACTTCATTTGCACATTCAACAGACCATTCCATCCCTCCGTCAGGCAGCTTCCACTGATTGGTGTGTATGAGACAACCAGTGGATCTCTTGGTCATGGGACTACTGCTCATCCTTTGCTGTAAGTGACTCTCCTGGTCAGAAGCTGCGTTAGATGGGACTGTATGAGTACATATTAGGCACTCTGGGAGCCTCTGGATGGTGGTGCTAACTGAGGCTCCGCAGGGAGGAAACGCAAACCAATATCTGCAGTAAGTATCTATAAGAACAAAAAGTGTTCCTATAAGAATACATAAATGCCACCAAATGGCTTTCTAGTCTCCTTGAATAGTAGTAATATGGGGGACAAATTGTCTCTGTTGCTGGCAGGTTGGACGCTCAGAAATAGCTGTAGTTATTTAGGCCCTGGTTTGTGGGAATCTCTGCTTTTGGGCTGTTGCATAGCCTCCATCTCTGACTTCATGGCCACTGCATTAGTGAGTCATTGAGCAAGCACTGGGATGGCTGCTGACTTCAACTGGCTGACCCATTTATTGTACTTGGTTGGCAGTGTCTCTGCAGTGTGTTCTCTGCTGGGTACTAATATGTGATGCAGTGATCTTCACACATTGTCTCTACTCTTATATGTTCATCCTTTTGTCTCTACCTTAGACCTTTTTGTCTTTGATCTTCCAATGATTCTATTCTAGAGCCCTGACAAACCAGCCAGGTTATTTGCAACTTTATGTGAGTCTATATATTCTAATCCTGAACCACTTTCCTTTCCACACAGAGCATGCCCAGGTGTAGTGCCTAAAGCTTTTCCCTTTGGGAAGATTCTCCCTTGCCACTGTCAGTCATGGCCACTTCTGAGTAACTAGCACTCAAAAGCTGAGGTGGGCCTTGAGGTGTTAGCAGTCCCCACACTTCCCAGAGCTGGGCAATGAGCCATTTCTTGAAGGAGATGCTGAGCTGCATGTCTTCATGTCTGCCACAAGCAGACGTTTACTATTCTTACATACTCAGCATTCTTTCCCCATTCTTTTGGTAACAGTGCTTCCCTTTTCTTTAATGAAAAACTCCTCTCTTTTATGAAATCCTGGAAAGACTTTGAATAAAGCAGACCTTCTCCTCTGATCATGTTCCTCTGACTCTTGTCCGCCCTCTCTGGCCAGAGGATGAACATATGATCAAACTGGGCTAATCATAATCTCCCCAGATAAGTTATAACTGTAAAACTACAGTTACGACAAAATAAGAGAAATATCAGCTCTTGGCAAATTCTGCTTTTCCTGCCGCTGATATTTCAGTGGTACACTGAACGATTCTCTAAGCTACTCCAATATCTTACATCAAATGCCTTTTCTGTCCTGTAAGTTAACCAGAGTAAATTTTTATTGTTTGCCATAAAATCCCTAACTGATATGGAACTCTGAAAAATTGTACAACTAGACCTACAACTCTAGGAGAGGGTATTTATTCAAACTGAAAAAGGTGTCTCATTCTGGACAGATGCAAATATATGTATGCACAGCTTGGTGAGCATATGGCCCCTTTGTGCTAATGAGGAAAAGACGCCCCTTGAAGTGGTCTTCTCGGTGACACCCTCATGCAGGATTCAACCTTGAATATCTTTGCTTGAGGCAATTCACTGTCTATCTCTTATCCGACAGCAGAAAGAGAAGGAAAATAACACAGGGAAGAAACATATTTGAAATACAGAAATATAATATTTGTTATGATACACACCTAAGTGGGACACAGAACTGATATTGACTTTGAGCCGAGGGTATGGGTTAACAGAAATGAAGTCACTGATTTCCTCAGAGTTGATGGTACAGAGATTATAAGGGAGTAGGAAAAAAGTCACATTTTAAAAAGCTTTGCTTTTGAAAAAAAGAAACATATCGTTTATCCAGGTGGCTCTAATTTAGAAGTGGAAAAGTTAACCAAAGTAATTATTCCAATTTCATCACAGAAAGAACCATTAAAAGAGAAGAAAGAGTTCATTTCAGAAGGACACAACTTTAGCATAAACTTTCAAAGGAGTTCATTCCAATTTTTATTTAAAAAGCCTTCTTAAATGCATAATGTTATAAAAGTGGAAGCTTTGTACAATTCTTAGAAGAAACTATTTGATGAAAGAAAAGTAG
The DNA here is from genome assembly GCF_000001405.40 of Homo sapiens. Classification (NCBI taxonomy): domain Eukaryota; kingdom Metazoa; phylum Chordata; class Mammalia; order Primates; family Hominidae; genus Homo; species Homo sapiens. The sequence continues at coordinate 116,097,264 of NC_000002.12, read as the reverse complement.
GTTGTATTAAAAGTTTATAACTGATTATAAAAAGTTTTCAGGAGAAACCACAGAAAACAATTTTTCATACATGAACGGATAACCTGGATACTAATATTCATGCCCCTGAATGGACAAGAGGGACTTTAAAGGTCATTCATTTAATTTTCCTAGCCCAAGTCTTGTCTATCTCCAGGTAGATCAGATATTTCTTACCAACAAGCATAAAGGAAAATTCCAGAGCCTCCCTGGAAGTCGCTTCAGGACAGGAACATACTGGAAAGATTATCTAGCACAGGTTGAACCTGTGTAAACACTAGAAACAAAATGAGGGGCAATTATGTCTCATGTAACTTAACATGGAAATCAATTAACAGTTTAAACTCTGAAAATGTACTATCTTCTTATTGGACAAATACTTTTATTTAGTACCAAATCCACTGGATACCAGTTTGTTGTCTGTATAATTTTATTGGAAATTCATTGTTTTTAGGTAGTAGAATTCACCTCAGGTTCTAGAAATGGTAGTAGAATTCACCCCAGGTTCTAGAATTCACCCCAGGTAACAAGGCGAACTCCAACAGTGCCTTCTGCCATACCGGCCCTAAGTTTCCATTTGGGATGGGCATTTGACCTGAAATCTGAGAATATTTGATGGGAAAATTGAGAAAATCATAATTTGCCACTCTGTTGCTTTGGGCACTATAAGGCCTAGTACTTCTGCCTTGCACTGTTCAGCACTGGGCCCAGAAAAAAGCAACACTCAGGAGATGAGTGTCGACAGAATAGCAGAGAAATGGAGCTGAATTCTTGATATGTCTGAAGCTTGCCTACCTATTAATCCCTTTCAATTCTTTAAGACAAAAAAAGTTATATTTATAGCTTAATTTATAGCTTAATTCATTTTGAATACAGTTTTTTGTTTCTTAAAAGCAAAATCACCCCACTTAATATTAGTAAGATTGGGAGTGATGTGTTGTTAATAGACTGTCCTCAATTATGTTATGCAGGAGAAGAGTGTAGAATTTTCTACCTCAAGTGAGAAATTGAAGATTTTTCTACATTGGTGATACAATTGTTAGTGAGTGGTCTCTGGAAAGTTTGGTCATAAATCGCTTTAATGTAGTTGCTGCCTCAGCATCCATTTTAGTTGTCTGAATCCCTGTCGACCCTGTCACCTTTGGCCTCACTAAAATTTCCCTTCCCTGTGGTTGCCTGTAGTGTAGCCCACTTATTCCTCATCTCACTAACCCAAAACGCAACACATCCTACAACTACTGATCACAAAAGACGCTTAATCATTAACACCAGCGTCATGTAAATAAGTTTCCCACTTTCTGATATGTTTTCTTTAAATTAGCCCATCCACAAACGACACAGAAAAGCCAAAAAGGTAATTCCTATGGACCTTGAGAAAGGCATAGTCCCCTAGGTCCTCTCATGCTAGTGGAGCCCCCTACTGCCTCTGGACTTCCCATTAGCCACCCTAACATCTCTGAGATCCCTAATAATGCATTTCTTCTGTTTCATGCATTTTTTTCACTTCCTCATGTGTCTCACTTGACACATACACCTGAAATTAACTTCCCCTATCAGGGTTCTTATAGAGAGTAGATAGCTTAGCATATGGTCACTGTCCATAGACAGACCTCAAGACCAAATTAGGAAAAGATCACAACATGGAGTGAATAGGGTAAAGATGGCTAACTACAGGCATTTGACAGTTGCCTCCTCCAGAAAGAACTAAAATTATGAATAGATATTCACTCTCAAAAAGAGCATATAAGACAGAACATTGAATACAGCAGAGAAGTGACAGAAAACATCTGAGGCACAGGAGAGGATAAAGGAGTTAGCCAGTGTAGCCAGGATCAGCTGGGATCCTCAAGACTGTCCCCAACCCCCTGGTGCAAGGAAAGGGTAAGTGAGAGATCCTCAGCAGTCCACATTCCCACCGAGGGTTCCTGCAATCCTAGGCACAGGAGAGGCCCATGACCCACATAGCCCCTTAGATTAGCATAGGCAGTTGCCTGGAGATACCACAAAGGCACTGCTCCAGAGAGGGAGTTCATGCTAGGTCATACACACCCCTGGAGACCTAAGAAACTGCAGCACAATGCCATGTTGAGAGTCCAGTCTCCATCAGACTGCATCCTGCCCTGGTGCTCAACAGCCCCTGCATCTCCACATCTTGGGAGCCCTCCCTGAAATTCCCCATGTCCACTTGGAGGGCTGCAGTGGTGCAACACCAGGTAGACCCAACAATGTGGCAGCGTCCCCATAACTGTAGGCCACACAGAGTTCTACACCCCAGGGAAAGGGTGGTACAGCACACCAGGGAGGCTGCCCTAGGAAAAAGGAAACCTAAGCTGTGGAAACTCCCCAGGGGTTAAGAGCTGCTTTCCTGGGGCTGCTGACAGCAACTCCAACCCCAACAGCAGCAGTCTCTGCTCTAGCTTGTGCTCTGAGGACTAACTCCTCCTGCACACCACCATGGCTGTGGCTACTGCCAGGAGCCAAAGTGAGCAACTCTCAGAGCCTGAAAGCTGCCTATATGGGGCTACTGACAACAAGCAGCATGGCTTCTGTGCTCTAATATATGCCCTAAGTATGTCCTAAGTACGGGATATCCCTGAATACCACCACAGCTGCTGCTGCCACTGGGGAGCCAAATATAGACTCCCCAGAACCTGAAGGCTGCTTGTCTGCCTGCTTGAGTCTGCTCCCACTGACAGCAACTCATTGCCTCCCAGCAGCAGGACTGCTGCAAAATTTCACACACTGTAAGAACAGGCTTTCTCTCTCTACCACTGCAGATTGCCCTACCCTACCTACTGTAGCCTGCACCCATGTGCACCACCAGAGGGCGTGAGTTCAGGCCTGCTTGGCCTGGCATCATCCCCCACCAGTGCCTGAGCATGCCACCCAGGGACCTGGGGAGCACCCTGGCTGGTCCACCTCTGCTAGCACCTGTGCACTCCTCCTGGGAACCTGAAGATGGGCCCACACAGCCTGCCACCAACACCACTGCTAGCACTTGCCTGCATGCACCAACTGGGTTCCAGGAAACTGGCATGCCTAGCCCATCACAGCCCTATTAACAAGAGCCACCGGGGAGCCTAAGAATTGCCACATCAGTGCTACTACCATTGTTCATGCCATACATGCTATTCGTGGGCTTATGGACCCACCCACCCATCTGGCCCACCACCTCCATTGCTGGCACCTGAGTAAGCTCCCTGAAAGCCCAAGGATCAGGCCACCTGGACCTGCTAACACCAGTGCCTGAATAAACCACCTAGGTGCCCAGAAAAATAAATATTTGGCCTGCAGCTGCCACTACTGGGGTTCAAAGACTGGCCCACCTGGCATCTTTATCCCTAGCAAAGGTTCACCACAGCCTCCACTAACAATGATACCCAAGCCACTAAAGAATTCACAAATACTACTGATGCTATTCACAGCTGAATATATAATTCAAAGACTGCATTACTGTATGTACCCAGAATTAAAAATACCATACTCAATCAACATAGACACATAGTCAGTAAAATTCTTCCCCTATGAAAGACAATCCAAAGAATGAAATAAGTGACCATTTCACCAGATGTGCAGATATAAATGGAAAGATGCCACATATGTGAAAAGCAGGAAAATTGGACACATCCAAAGAATTATAATTCTCTAACAAAAAATTTCAGGAAAAAAGAAATGATGAAATGCCAGAAATTGAATATGAATAAAAATGCTCAGTGAAATCAATTGAACACATAAACAATATAAAGAAATCAGAAAAAAAATTCAGGATATGAATGAGAAATTTACCAAAGATATAGATACCATTAAAAAAAAGAAAATCCCCGAACTTAATAATATATGAAATTTAAAAAAAAAATGTATTCCAGAGTTTCAACAACAGACTAGATTAAGCAGAAGAAAGAATAACAGTGGATTTCTCAGGAAAAACAAACAAACAAAAAACCTTACAGGCCAGGGGAGAATGAGATGATATATTCAAAGTGCTGAAAGAAAAATCAGTCAGTCAAGAATAATATAGCCATCAAAGTTATCCTTCATAAATGAATAAGAAATCAATCTTTCCCAGATAAGCCAAAACTGAGAAATTTTTTTTTCACCATTAGATTGTCCCTACAAGAAATGCTTTAGAGAGTCCCAAACCTGGAAATGAAAAGATGATATATACTATTGTGGAAACATATGAAAATATAAAACTCCTTAGTAGAACAAAGACATAAATGAGGAAGAGAAAACTCAAATGTTATTTCAAAAAACCACCAAACCCTGATGATAAACAACAGAGAAATAAAAAAGAAAAAAGGGATATACAAAACTACCAGAAAACAATTAACAACATGACAGGGATAAAACCTCACATATCAATAATGACCTGGAATGTAAAGAGATTAAATTTTCCACTTTAAAGATATATACTGGCTGAATGTAGTTTTTAAAAATGATGCAATCATGTGGTGCCTACAAGAAACTCACTTTATCAGTAAAGACGTATATAGAGTGAAAGTAAAGGAATAGAAAAAGCTATTCCATAGAAATCTAAATCAAGCAGGAGTAGCTATACTTACATCAGCTAAATGCACTTTAAGTCAAAAACAGTAAAAAGAAAGAAATAAGGTCATTACATAATGATAAAGGTGTCAATCCATCAAGAGGATATAACAAATCTAAATATATATACACTCAATGCTGGAACTCCTAGATATATAAACCAAATAATGCTAGATCTAAAAGGCGAGATAGACTCCAATACAATAATAGTGGGGGAGTTAAACTCCTCATTCTTGACATTAAACAGATCATCTAGACATAAATTCAACCAAGAAACACTGGATTTAAACTGCACTTTAAACCAAATGGACCTAACAGACATTTATCTGCAAAACATTTTGCACAAACCCTGCATTCTTCTGATCAGCACATGGAACATTCTCTGGGATATACCATATGTTAGGCCAAAAACCAAGTGGCAATGAATTTTTAAATATTAAAATTATTTGAAATACCTTCTGAGATGACATGAAATAAAACAAGAAATCAATACCAAGAGGAGTTTTTAAAACTATACAAATATACAGAAAGTAAACAACATGCAAATGATATCACATAAATACAGAAGATAATCAAACACTATCATGAATTACTATAAACCAACAAACTGGAAAATCTAGAAAAATTGTATACATTTTTGGACATATGCAACTGACCAAGATTGAATTGGGAAGAAATGGTGTGGCCTCACTGCTGAATTCTACCAAAAATATTAACCAACATCAATTTGCCTCAAACTCTTCCAAAAAATTGAAGAGGAGGGAATTCTCTCTAGCCCATTCTGTAAGTCCACATTATCTTGATATTGACACCAGACAAAGACATATTAAAAAATAAAAAGAAAGAAAACATTAGATCAATATCTCTGATGAACATGGACACAAAATATCTTCAACAAAATACTGGAAAACTGAACCCAACAGCACATAAAAAAAGTACACCATGATCAGGTGGGATTTATTCCAGGGATACAAGGATTATTCACTATACGCAAATCAATAAATGTAATACGTTACATCAACAGAATGAAGGACAAAAAATATCTGATCATTTTTATACATGAAAAATAAGCATTTGATAAAATAAAATATCCCGTTGATAAAGAAAAAACAACATTGAATAAAGTGAGTATAAAAGGAACATACCTCAACATAATAAAGGCCATATATGACAACCAAATAATGAATGTGGAAAAGCTAAAAGCCTTTTTTCTAAGAACTAGAAACTAGACAAGGATGCCCATTTTTTCCACTGTTACTCAACATAGTATTGGAGATTATTATAGCCAGAGTGGTCAGGCAAGAGAAAAAAAAAATCAGTCAAATTGGAAAAAGGAAGTCAAATTGTCTCTCTTTGCAGAAGACATGATCTTATATCTAGAAAAACCTAAAGACCCCACCACAAAATTTAGATCTGATAAATTCAGTAAAGCTGCAGGATACAAAATTAACAACACTAAAAATGTCATTAGTGTTTCTATATGTGAATAATGAACGAGCTGAGAAAGAAATCAAAAAGGCAATTCCACTTATAATAGCTACAAATAAAATACTCAGAAATAAATTTAACCAAGGGGGTGAAATACTTTCACAAGAAAAAAAAATTAAAAAAACTGATGAAAGAAATTCAAGAGAATACACACAAATAGAAAAACATCCCATGTTCATGGATCAGCATAGTTAATATTATTGAAAGTGACTATACTACCCAATCTATAGATTCAATGGAATTCCTGTCAAGCTATTTACATCCTTTTTCACAGAAATAGAAAAAAAATTCTGAAAGCTAATATGGAACCAAAATTGAGCCCAAATACCCAAAGCAATACTGAGCAAAACAAAGTAAGAACAATTATACTACCTGACTTCAAAGTATATTACAAGGCTATAGTAAAGAAAATAGCATGGCATTGTTATGAAAACAGATATATAGGCTAAAGGAACAGAATAAAGAACTCAGATAGGCTGGGTGCAGTGGCTCAGGCCTGTAATCCCAGCACTTTGGGAGGCCAAGGCGGGCAGATCATGAGGTCAGGAGATCGAGACCATCCTGGCCAACAAGATGAAACCCTGTCTCTACTGAAAATACAAAACAACAACAACAACAACAACAACAACAAAAACATTAGCTGGGCATGGTGGCAGGTGCCTGTAATCCCAGCTACTTGGGAGGCTGAGGCAGAAGAATAGCTTGAACCCGGAAGGCGGAGGTTGCAGTGAGCCGAGATCGCACCACTGCACTTGGGTGACAAAGTGAGACTCTGTCTCAAAAAACAAAACAAGACAAAAAACCAAAGAACTCAGATTCCACATATTTAAAGCCAATTGATTTTTGACAAGGCACCTAGAATATACATTGGAGAAAGGATACACCCTTCAATAAATAATGCTGGGAAAACTGGATTTCCTTATGCAAAAGAATGAAACTCAACCCCCATCTCTTTTCATAAACAAAAATCAATTCAAGATGGATTAAAGACGTCACATATGACCCAAAACTATAAAGGTGCTGGGAGAAAACATAGGAGAATCATTTCAGCACATTGGTCTAGGCAAAATTTTATGGTTAAGACTTAAAAAGCACAGGAAAGAAAAACAAAAATAGACAAATGGGACTATGTTAAACTTAAAGGCTTCTGCACAGCAAAGAAAATAATCAACAGAGTTAAGAGAAAACCTGTAGGCCGGGCGCGGTGGCTCACGCCTGTAATCCCAGCACTTTGGGAGGCCGAGGCGGGCGGATCACGAGGTCAGGAGATCGAGACCATCCCGGCTAAAACGGTGAAACCCCGTCTCTACTAAAAATACAAAAAATTAGCCGGGCGTGGTGGCGGCGCCTGTAGTCCCAGCTACTCGGGAGGCTGAGGCAGGAGAATGGCGGGAACCCGGGAGGCGGAGCTTGCAGTGAGCCGAGATCCCGCCACTGCACTCCAGCCTGGGCGACAGAGCGAGACTCCGTCTCAAAAAAAAAAAAAAAAAAAAAAAAAAAAAAGAGAAAACCTGTAGAATGAATGGGGGAAAATATTTGCAAACTATTCATCAGACAAGGGACTAATATGCAGAATATACAAGGAACTCATTTCAATACTAAAAAAAAAAACAAAAACAAAAAAAGGAAACCCAAAAGAATTGCATTAAAATGTGGGCAAACGACATAAACACATTTCTCGAAAAAAGACTTACAAATGGCCAACAGGTATATAAACCAATGTTCAACATCACTCAGGATCAGGGAAATGCAAATGAACACCACAATGAGATATCATCTTACCCCAACTAGAATGGTTATTATTAGAAAGACAAAACAAAACAGATGCTAATGATGAAAGAAAAATGAACGTTTATACATTGTTGGTAGGCTTGTGAATTAGTACAGCCACTGTGGGAACCAGTATGCAGATTTCTCAAAGAACTAAAAACAGAACTAAACCCACTACTTGGGTATTTATGCAAAGGAAAGGAAATCAGCATATCAAAGGGATACCTGCAGCCTTATGTTTATTGCAGCATTATTAATAAGAGCAAAGATATTGAATCAACCTAAGTATCCATCAACGGATGAATTGATAAAGAAAATGTGCTACACATACACAACAAAATACTATTCAGCAATAAAAAAGAATGAAATCCTGTCATTTGCAGGGACATGAATGAAACTGGAGGTCATCATGTTAAGTGAAATCAGCCAGGCACAAAAAGACAACTATCCCATATTCTCACTCACATAGGGGAGCTAAAAAAAGTGGATCTCCTGAAGATAGGGAATAAAACAATAGATATCAGAGACTGAAGAAGCCATGTGTGAGGGGTAGGGAAGATAAAAAGAGGTTGGTTAATGGGAACAAACATACAGTTAGAAGGAATATGTTCTAATGTTCCATAGCAGAGTAGGATGACTATAATGAACAAAGTATTGTATATTTCAAAATACCTACATGACTTGAAATGCTCCCAACATATAGAAATAATAAATATTTGAGGTGATGCACACCTTATATACCCTGGCTTGATCATTACATTCTATGCATGTAACAAACTATCACATGTACCCCACAAATATGTAAAATATCATGTATCAATTAAGAAAAAATAAAAAAATAAGTTTGGACATGGATGTTGTGCTTATAAAGGTCACAGCATTAGGGGACATGGCTCAAAAGTCAGGGTAGTGTTACTTGCTTGCTATTTTTGGTACTTTCAATAAGTTCATTCATCACAGAGATAAGCGGCTTTGAAACTGTTCTGCAGAGAAGCAGAGGAAGATCCGCAGCTTAACAATGAGAGGCCTTTCTGCCTGTGGCCTGCATTCCATGTTGATGACACTCAACATTTTGAAACATTTAAGATTTAAGAACTACATTTTCTACCTCAAATCTTTTCTAATGGAAACAGTAAAGTTAAAATTATGATGGGTTTAAGACTGTGACACAGGAAAAGCCGGATCCCCAAAGCCTCCTCACACAACTCCAGCAGAGTAATCTCTGTTTGTTGTAGGAAATAATCACTTCAGTGTGAGAAAAAGCTGGGAAGCAGCCTGGGTTGAAAGGGCAATTTACCTTTACCTTGTTTCCCTAGGTTCACTTTGTTCAATGTGCCCCAAAACACATTTCAGTTGAAGATTAGAAAGATAGACGCACTTGTTGAGAGTGGACAGAAAACCTCAAGCTCATTAGTAGCTGCAAATGTTGGCCAGGTAAGAGTCTACGACCTCTAGTACATGAAAAACATTAGAAGTTACTATAAACCGTGTAGATAAAGAGTCTGACTGCTTTTTAAAGAAAATATTTGATAGCTGACATCTTTTAAGCCTTATCCTTACCTCTCCCCATTGTGGCCCACTTCTGGGGAAGCTGATGAGAAAGCCTGGCTGCCACCTCTTTTGAAGCCAGCGGAGATTTAAACCATGCAAGCTGTGGCTCACCTGTGAGAACCCCTAACCACAATAAACCACCTCAGCCAGCCTCTTTCCTGGCCCTTTTAAAGCTTTGTTAGGAGCGGCTTGGGAGGCCTGCGCCACCCTTCCCACAAAAGCCCCAGTGTATACACATCCTTTTCACACCTTCTTCTATGTGTGGCAACATCAGTCTCAACATTCAAACTAACTTTTGAGTGGGGGGTCCTTCCTGCCTTTGTAGGGCAACCAAAGTAGACCTGAAGGCTGCTGAATACTTAAGGACAGTGTATCACCAGTAACCTCAAGACTGACTTCCAATGGCTTACAATTTTTCAAGCTATGGGATGATCTCCAGGCCTCTGAATAATCATTATCACATGGAAATGGACTGCTTATTAAGATTTCTTAAAGGAAAAGCCTCGCCAAAGTGCAGTACCTGTGACCATGGAGAAGATTAAAATGTACAGGAAAGTTCTTCCTGCAGAGCAGAACAAGGGCCCAGCCAGTGGACTGAAGAACTCACTTCAACAATACAGAGAGGCTTTGTTGCTTTGTTACTGTTGCCCATAGGATATCCTGTGTGTGTGTGTTATAGACAACTTACCACTGTTTCTTGTTTCCAACTGCTCCTTCTCCCAAAGGTTTTTTTTTGTTTGTTTTTTTTGAGGCGGAGTCTGGCTCTGTCGCCCAGGCTGGACTGCAGTGGCCTGATCTCGGCTCGCTGCAAGCTCCGCCTCCCGGGTTCACACCATTCTCCTGCCTCAGCCTCCAGAGTAGCTGGGACTACAGGTACCAGCCACCACGCTGGGCTAATTTTTTGTATTTTTAGTAGAGACGGGGTTTCACCGTGTTAGCCAGGATGGTCTCGATCTCCTGACCTCGTGATCCGCCCGCCTCGGCCTCCCAGAGTGCTGGGACCCAGAGGTAATTTTTAAGAAAATTTATATATTGGACTAAAGTTTTATTTACCCATAAATACTGAACACTGAGAAGCTGCCTACGAGCTTGATGAAGAAGACAGTTCATCCAGTGAGCCTAAAGATCAGAGCTAGATGTTATAACTGGATAATACATTTTTTTAGAAAAACTCTTTTTTTGGAGAGAAAATGAGCAAATCCCAGGTTGATAAAAACATATTGGAAAAGGGATATGTTACAGAAACTTGTGTGTGGATGTTTATCTGCCCAAAAATGTTAGGAGTAGCTGTTGTTTGCTTCTCTAATATCCATTTTCCTTTTTCAAATAAGCCCCTGTGTATAGTAGAATCTGTGTGGCTTTGAGCGATTTTATTCCATTCTTAGCTCCTGGAGTGGCACATGTGTTCCAAGGCTAAGATAGTTATTCTCGGGACTCTTCTTAAAAATTTTGTAATAGAGATGCTCTTTTCTTGCTTTGGATGACATGGTGTTCAGACAGTTAACTTTGGTACCGCTATAGGCCTTTTCTTTCATAAGGAATACCAGCCTGAGTCTGAAGACAAAACAGAAAGGAGTTGAGGAAACCTCAGGAAAATGGAGCTGGAGCGCTGACCATATGGCACCTGAAGCCCACCCCACATCTGCACTTACTCATTTCCATAAGTAAAATATTTCTTTTTCAATAAGTTAGAGTTACTTCAGTAGGGTTTTTGGTTATTTGCAATTATAAGCATCCAAGGCATTGTGGATTAAGAAAAAATAAAGACTGAGTGATAACATATCATTTCTGACAAGGAATTTGCATAGCTCTCTCTTCTATAATACTGTAAGACAAAATTCCATCAAATGTTAAAAGAGCCATGATTATTGTCTATTACTTCTAAGGCTAAATGAAAGGAAAATAAATTCAAACTCTGAGTTAGACCTAAATGTCTAATGTGTAACTAGATGTCTTAAATCTTTTAAACTAAAACTCTCATTCAACATAACTAAATTGTCAATCTTCGTCTGAAATCTGCTCTTATTCTCATGATACTAGCAAATGTCACCACTAATCTTAAGGCCAGAATCTGTGGCATCACCCTTAACCCCTGGCTTTTTTTTAGGCCCCATATATAATCTATCGCTGTTGATTGTAGAATTACCACCTGAATGACTCTCACTTGTTTTCTCCCACTTGTTCAAGCTCTAATTATTTTCTTCCTGACCTGACTTTCAAGATCAACACTTGCTTCTTCTAATCTGGTTTCTCCAGCACAGGCACAACAATCTTCCCATTACTCAAATATATTCCTCTCCTGCTTTACACCCTCCACTGCCTTCTCTTTTCTCTACAGTTAAGTACAAAGCTTTCTGACATAAGTGAGCACGATATAGAATAGAAAGCCTGAACAAGTCTAGATGTCACTTGTTTCTTGTCTCTTTTTACATCAGGTGCCCCTTGTAGGCAGCACTCCAGCCTTCTTTTAGTCTCCAGTATTGACCTGAAGCTTCTAGAAGGTCTGTTTCTCATGTTGTGGCCTCTTCTTGGAGGTGCCTCACTTTGCTTTTTCTCCTGGAAGAAACCTTTCCTCACTCTACCAACAAGTCCAATTCCTCCTATTCACCCTGAAAGTCTATTTATGTAACCTTTATCATGATTGACCATTATGGAGTTTTTACTAGATTATGTGATGATTTGATTTATACATGTCTTCTCCAGTATGCTTTAAGCTTCCTGAAGGCCAGATAGATACCCGTTTATCTGCTTTCATACAGGACTGTCTGTGGTAAAGGGCATACTCAATAAATATTTTCTAAACAAATGAATGAACATAGTCCAGGGTGATAAGTAAAGTGCATTTATTCTTTTGATTAAGCAACAAAAATTAACCCTGTTTGACCTTCCTTCCAATAACATTATAAATTCTATGACAAACTTTGAAGACAAGCACATATGGGTTGACTGTATGCAATGAATCCTGGCAAAAGCCCAACAAAATTGAAGATAGCCTAAAGGAAGGATATGTTACGTGTGACAGAAGAAAGATTGCTAACTTAAAAATCAGAATAGCAAAGTCCCAGGTGTCTTGTACCACACATTAGCTATGTAGCTGTCTTAGTCAGCTCAAGCTGCCATAACAAAAACAGCATAAACTGTGTGGTTTATAAACAATAAGCTATTATTTCTGACAGTTCTGGAGGGTAAAATTTCAAGATCAAGGTACCAGCAGATGGGGTGTCTGGTGCAGGCCCACTTTTTGGTTCATAGACGTAGCTTCTTGCTGTATTCTCCCATGGTGGAGGGAGTAAGGCAGCTCTCTGGGGTCTCTTTTTAAGGACACTAATCCTGTCCATAAGGGCTGCCCCCTTATGACCTAATTACCTCCCAAAGGCCCTAATTTCTAAGACCATTGCCTTGGGTTAGAATTTGAACATATAAACCCTGGGGAGGACACAAACATTCAGAACACAGCAGTGTCTTATCAAAAAGCATAGCTCTCCAAAGCCTCAGTTTCTTCTTCAATAAAGTGAACATAAGAACCCATCAAACTCAACCAATGGGGTTACTTAAAAGAACATATAATGTGTTCGCCATAAAAAAATCCTGGCAGTTTTCCAAATAGACTTCAGGTGTCTCATTTTCTTAAGCAAAGGTGGACACTCCAATCAGGGGTGAAAACATTTTTTTGGAATCCCAGAAACCTGTTGTTCTTATTTCTACAATGGTATTTTCTCCATGATGCCTGTTAGAATCACAAACTTTCTTCCTGGAATACTCTTGTAAATTTACTTCTCCTGATACTATAGAAAGTGACTCATATGGAAGTCAACCAATACGTTGCCAGGTTGAGCACAAAGGGACTTATAACATCTTATATGAACACTAAAGTATCTTGGGCATACAAGGAAAAGACATGCACTTTGGAGGAATATAGTTGAACTTCACATACTGCTTCTACTTGACTATCTGTGACCTTCAACAATCATAATTCTCAACTACATCAAAGTTCTGTGAGGATAAGAAATAATGGGTATAAAACCCAGTAGAGTTTCTACGATGCAGTATCGAATGTTAACCATAGCTGTTCTGTTATTATAGATATTGCTGATCACCTTCCTCACATTCATGATATAGAAAAATTTAGAAATAATAAGTCTATGGTATAACCATGTTGTATACTTATTAATAATTGTATATGGTATTTAGCAACTCACTTAAAATTTAATAAAGACTTCTGCTTTATATGGATTACCTATGTGTTTGTGTTTCTCAAACCTCAGAGGAAAATACTTTGTAATTTCTCTACCTAGGAGGTCACATTTGTCCAATTAAATACAAAGTAAGAATGTGACTGGGCTTCAACTCAAACAATGTGATTATAGAATACCCTGACCACTATTCTTACAATTTCACAATCCTTGAAATGTATCCCTATACACGCAGCAGTCCTGATTCTATGGATTCATATGTCATGTGGTTCTCAAAGATGAATGGCATTGGTGCAAATTTTTGCTATAAAGATGAATATGCTACAGTCCTTGTTACCAACACTCTTCTAAATAAAACATGATACACTAAATTGTGTTATTTGTTTTTAAGTGTGATGATGCATGCATACACAACAAATGAGAATTACAAAGAGGAAAGCCCCCATATTTCATTGTTTATTACTGGAGAGATCTGATGTTGTGCCTGTAAATTGCTGGTTCAACAAGCTCCCTTGGTGATTTTTTTTTTAAATCAGCAGACCCCTGGATAACAGTTTGACAAGCTGTATGCACTTGGCCTTGCATGTATTAGGAATTCTATAAACAATTAGTGGATTTGATTGGCACTGATATGTAATAGCGTTATATAATAGAAAATATTTTTATCTATATGAACACACAGATAGGTTCAAACATTTATGAACAAGGTTAATTTAAGGTACAGTGGAATGAAGTGATTATAAAGTGGTGATCAGTGCAAAGTAGATATTAATAAATGCAACAACCATAGCAGTGAAGGTTTTAATGTCTTGAGGTGACTAAAGGGTCAAAATTCAAATATCAATGTTTGAACTGTAGGAGAGGTGGTAAACCTTGAAAAATTTAGCCAGGTTTCCTAGTTATAAGTAAAATTTGACATAAATAACCACTGGCTTCAAGAAAGATATTTTAGTATATCAAAAAATTTTGTGAAAAAGGAAGCAAGAGTAGGAATGAGAGAGAATAAGACAGAGAAGAGAGGAAGGTGGGGAGTTGTAGTAAATTGAATTGTGTTCCTCCAAAGTGTATAGCCACTGGAGCCTGAGAATATGATATTATTTGGTAAAGGGTATTTGTGGATGTAATTTATTTAATGTAAAGTATCTCAAGATAACATCTTTCTGGATTTAGAGTGGGTCCTAAATACATTAACAGACATTCTTATAGAATAGTAAAGACACCGAGGAGAAAGCCATGTGAAGATAGAGACAGAGATTGAGGATATGCAGCTACAAGCCCAAGAAACTCCCAGATTTGTAGCCAAGTCAGATGGAAATGCAGGTACCCTGGGGATGCTTTCTCGTGGCTGGCATCTGAAGTAAGAGCAGTCCTGTTAAGGACCTTGCCCTTTAACTTACAGGATATGAGGCTATTTCTGAGTAGTTAACATTGGAATTGAAAGAGTTAACCCTTAACTTGTGGGGTCTGCACTAATTCCAGGTAGTTAGCGTCAGAACTGAATTGAATTGTAGAACACCCAATTGATATTAGAGAATTGGTGTCAAAATCTATAGGAAATTCACTGTTCAGAAACTGTGCTCTGGAAAGAAGTTCAAGTGTATGGCTTAACAATCTTTAGCTAAAGACTCCAAGGGTGTGACTCATGCATCTAGTCAAATATCTCAGCAGAAGCCAGAAATAGAAATGAGCTTATCCATGAAAGATAGTGGAGGACTATTGTCTGATGGCTTATACCACAAGACATATACAAGAGACCAACATGGTTTTTAAGAATAGTATATCAGTAGAAACATTGCCATCTTGGACTGAAAGAGACACAAACAGGAAACAATGACAAAAGACTGTTGAACTTCTACGATTCTGTAAGCAGGAAATGGGATCATGGAGCTACTCAGCTGCATATGTACTACCCTAGAAGAAAAAGGAAGAATAACTCTGAGGGTGACACAGATGTTTGCAGGACCACCTGCATCCCAGAGGACAGAACATCAAGCCACAGAGGACGATCTCAGGCTTTGAAATCCAGTCAAATTTTTTCCTGCTGGATTTTGAACTTGCTTGTGACCAATGACCACCATGTTCCTTCTATCATGGAATAAAAATGTCTATTCTACACCTGGGCCATTATTGTATTTTGGAAGCATATGACTTGTTTTGCAGTTCCATACAGCCACAGATGGAGAAGAATTCTACTCCCAAAAGGATCATACTCAGAGTCTCACTCATATATGACTTAGATGAGATTTGGGACTTTCTGACTTGATATTTAGATGAGATTTTGGACTTAGAGTTCATGATATAATAGGTTGAGGCTATCAAGATTATTGAGATGTGGTAAATATAGTTTGCATTTAAAACAAATGTAAATTTTTGGAGGCCAGAGGGTAGATTTTAATAGTTTGAATTATGCCCAAAAGACATTTCTACCTGGAAGCTGCGAGTATGACTTTCTCTGGGGGGGGGAAAAGAAAAACAAGTCTTTGCAGATGTGATTAAGGTAAGGATCTCAATATGGGATCATCCTTGATTTAGGTTGAGCCCTAAATCCAAAAACAGGTGTTTCCTATAGAGCAAGTAAAATATAGAGACACCGAGAAGACCATGTGAAAACAGAGGCAGAAGTCACATGGCTACAATCCCAGCAACACCAAGGATTGCCAGCAGTGAGTAGAAGCTAGAAGAGAGCCATGACACAGATCATTCTTCAGAGCCCCCAGGAAGAATCAACCCTGTTAACACTTTGATTTCAGGCTTTTGGTCTCCTGAATTGTGAGAGAATATATGCCTGTCATTTTAAGCCACCGAGTTTGTGGTTAATTTGTTATAGTAGCCTTTTTTGTTTGGAGACAAAAAGATAAACTAGATATTTTCATTACTAGTGCATTATACACTATAAAGGCAAGACGACTGTTCCACATTTATGTTCTCAGCAAAGTGATTCAAAACAAATAACCAAGCAGAGCTTTGACCCACCTGTTACATCTCCAGTGTCTCCCCACTGTTGACAGAAATAGCTCTGTTTAACTACTACCTTTGCACAATTGAAATTTTATGTTTGTGTCTTCATTTCATACAAAATAATCAACTTGGATACCTTAACAAGGCACAACATTATTTATTGGAAAGGACAAAATCGGTGTCATTACTGACACGATATGAATTTTCACTTGCACACCTATAAATGGAATATTGACAAAAAGAACAGAAAAGGTAGAACAAAATGACCAAAAACTACGTAAGAAAGGTTTGAAACCCAACAGGATAAAACAGAAAGATTAAGACATTATTAATAATAAATTTAGAGAAAAAATCCTTTTCCTACCAAAATTCATAGCATACATAAATCCAGAGCAGCAATGTAAAAGATTCCCCTTCAGAAAGAATCAGATCCTAACTTGAAATTTGGTATCTTAATTCCCAATTACATGTGCATTTTTTTCTATAGCAGACATTAAGCACAGAAAAATTTTTAAAAAATATATAAAATGTATAGAACTTAGGTAATTAAAAAATATATACATACCTCAAAACCCAGAGGCCGTTGTGAATGTAACACACACACACACACACACACACACACACACACATATATATATATATATCCAGCAAGGGTAATAAATGTTGTAAGTTGCATAATAATTTCGCTGTCACGTTGGTTTCTATGTGAGAGACACACATGGGATTTGAAAGCAAGTCAGTATTTATAATGCAATACAGAGTGTAAGTCATAGTCCAAGACGGGATTTCTGAAATGTCACCAACACATAAATTTACTGCTATTTCCAGAAGAAAAATAAAAGCATTGAATACAACCAATGCAGACTGAATGTTAACAGAAAATCTCAATTGCAAACCATATTTTCTCCTTTAAATTTTACATTCCTTTAAGGACAGCTTCAGAGGTTTTGAAAGAAGAGTAAGAAAAAATAAAGAAATAATATTCACTATTTACTTAGAAGAATGCTATTTGACATATTTATAACTGGATCAGAAATTGATGACTTTAGATATGCTTCAATCTATAAAGTTTATTTTTCTTTTTGTCAAAAGCCCTATAAAAGAGAGCTGTTTTGTCAAATCCCAAACTATATCTTGTTTGTCAGAAAAATAATGGTTGGAGGTAGATGTCAGTCACTTTTATAAACATGAGACAACAAATCTAAGATGTAAAGGAATTTTCGGGCCACTGAGAATTAAATAAATGGATTTCAAGAGTTCTAGCATCAGAAATTCAGTTTCATAGATATGTGTCAATCTAAAAGGATGTCACATTTAAGTGATGGCTCCGTACATTTTATTTATGCTAATATGTAATATGTTTGCTTCTTTAGTGAAACTGGGTGATGGTGGTTAGGTTGGATGGCAGAGATGCAGCGATCTGAAAGAAAGCAGTATTTGATACTGCCAGATATTCATTCTAATGAATTTTTACTTAAGCAATGGAATGTTGACACTTGTCATTTGAGTAGATGGTATAAATAAAATGACTTTTCTTCTTTTCCTATGGTAAAGAGAATGAAAAAAACAAAAAAAGGACCACGATAATACTATGTCACAATAAGTTTAGAATAAGGACATAGTTATGCTGGCTAGATGTGGTGGCTAATGCCTGTAATCCCAGCATTTTGGGAGGTTTAGGCTGGAATACTCTTTCAGGCCAGGAGTTTGAGACCAGCCTGGGCAACATAGCAAGATGCTGTCTCTACAAAAATTTTAAAAATTAGCCGGTGTGGTGGTGCATGCATATAGTCCTAGCTACCTGGAAGGCTGAGGCTGGAGAATCACTTGAGCCTAGGAGTTTGAGGCTGCAGTGAGCTATGATTGCACCGCTTTACTCCAGCCTAGTCTCAGCAACAGGGCAAAACCCTATCGCTAAATTAAAAAGTAGTTATGCTCATACCTATTTTATTTTACAATGTTTTCTATTAACAAATTCTGCTAATAAAATACTAAAGTAAGAAGGTTAAAATGACATATAAAATATCTCTGCAACTTGGTTTATACAAAGCCAGATACAACAAGGCAATGTGCTCTTCACAATATAGAAAACATATGATATACGTTTGTGATGGTTCGAATGTGCCCCTATAAAGCATGTGTTGGAAACTTTACCCCCAGTGCGACAGTGGTGGGAGGTGGGACCTACTGGGTGGTTTTTAGGTCTTGAGAGCTCCATCCTCATGAATAGATTAATGCTGATTATAAAAAGTTTGAGGCTGAGATCTCAATCTTTTGCTTTCTCTCATCCTCACTTTGCCCTTCCACCATGGAACAATGCTATAAGAAAACCCTCCCCAGATGTTTAACCCTCAACTTTGGACTTCCCAGCCTCCAAAACTGGGAGCCAGTAAATTTCTGTTCATTTTAAAATACTCATCTCAGATATTCTTTTATAGTAGCACAAAACAGACTAAAGCATTGTCAATATATAGATTTGTGATTTTGCAATTAGATCGTGTGTGTGTGTGTGTGTATACCCTATTGGGGAAAAGGAAATATCATGAAACTAGAAGAACTAATTACTACAATTGCTTTCACGAATTTTCAAGGGGTATTAAGTAACTTTAACTTTTAGTGTCAATTTGTTGGGTTTTGTTCACTAGGTTGGCTGGGAAAGAGGCATGTGTTATGGTGAAGTGGTGCTTTGTAAAAGGCAATTAGACTTTCCTGGCTCCTGTTATACAAACTGTCCTTAGAAATACCAACTTGCTTTATGAGATGATAAATTTTATATGTCACCTTGACTGAGCTATGGGATGCCCAAATAGTGGTATAACATTATTCTGGGCATTTCTGTGAGGGTATTTTTGAATGAGTTTAACATTCAATTCAGCAGACTGAATAAAGCAGACTTTTCTCCATAATGTAGGTGAGCCTGAATAAAACAAAAAGCTGACCCACCACTGAGTAAGAGGGAATTCCTCCTGCCTGCCAGACTTTTAGCTGTTACGCTGATTTTTTTTTTGTTTTTTCCAGATTGGAACTACACCATCAGCTTTCCTGGGTCTCTAGTCTGCCATCTGCACATCTTGAGACTTGTCAGGCTCCATATATATATATATATATATATATATATATATATATATATATATATATATATATATATATTCGTTTATATTTATGTATAATATATAATATAAACAAATATATATATGTCTGTATTTAAACATACATGCATGTATGTGGTTGTGTGTGGGTATGTGTGTACGTGTGTGTGTGTGTGTATCCTATGGTACCGTTTCTATGGAGAACTCTAAATTTAATTCTGGTAATTTTCCATGTTTGACTTGCCTTTTAAGGTCAATGATGCTGTTTGCATAACTATCTCTAAGACTTCAGTCTTATTATTCTACTTTGTAGAGAAAGCCTGGTTTGGACAGTTTTTCTGCAAGTGCTTGTTTAGTAATTACTGCAACCAGGTATGCTCTCCTGATTGGGCCTAACACAGAATGCATTTGATTTCTCTGACTATTTACCTGAGTAATTTTTTAAACTATATCTTTTATTTTCTATCCATTAAATCAGTAGTGGATAAACTGTAGCCCCAAGGCCAAAGTCAGTCTGTTACCCATTTTTCTGGTAAAGTTTTATTGGAACACAGCCATCGCCATTATTTATGTACCTATTTTCAATGGCTAGTTTTGCCTTACAAGGATAGAGCTGAACAGGTGTGACAAAGACTACATGCCTCTAAAAGCCAAAAATATTTAAAATCTGGTCCTGAATAGACAAAAGTTTGCTGATCCTCACATTAAATCAATCTGTAGATGGTTCATTTATGTTCCTGTAGATATACTGTCTACTAAGCCAGGAAAACGGCCTCATCTTCCACATACCCTGTGCTTCCATTAGCCCCTAATAGACCTCATGGCATGGCAGATGATTAAATATGATAGTGACCTGATTTCTTGACTTGAAGATGAAAAAGAAGGAAGTAGGGAGGAGAAACAGACCAGGGATATTTAGGAAGTGTAATATATTTTCTTGAAGGCTAAGAAGCTTCTGTGCTGTACTGTAGTTTTTTTTATTATTATTATTATTCCAAAGAACACTAAATAATGTGCTTTTTTAGAGCAGAAGCAATGTTTTAATTTTTTAAATTACTAACACCAAGAGTAGGTATCCAAGAAATGTGTTTAATGAATGAAAGTAACCTAAGCAAATGTTCTAAGGCCAGAAACACCACGGTTGAGAGCTCGGTGCTATATAAAAGGCAAAGGAGGGAATGGTGAGAAATCAAGTGAGAATACTACGCATAAATCATGTTATGAAAGACATGCAAAGCTAAATTAAAGACTTTGATTTTATTATTTAGGTGATGGCATGACCACTGGAGAATATTAATTACAGGAGTACAATGGGTTGAGTTATGTTTACATAGAACACTTTAAAAGGTCAATATTAGAATATTAGAATAAATGTATGAAATAAGAAATAGAGAAATATTATGTGCCTCTTAAAGCAAATAAAAATATACTAAATGTTTGACAAACAACTAAATACAAAAATTAAAAGTATATTTTAAATTCATTTATACATTTATTTATAGAACTAAATAAATCACCCACATAGAAAAACATGTAGAGGAAGTAGAATCACTTTATTAGAATTTTTGGAAATGGTTATGTAATTCACAACAACTGCATGTCTCTATATCCTCTAACAAGAGATTACACTTTATTCATGTAAGTTGCAACTTGCTGAAAATATGTTCCCCTAGGAAGTTTTATTGACTTCCACTTTGTATGGCAGACAGAAATATAAATCTCCAAATTAGTAAAGCATATTGATAAAATTTTTTTTTATGTTCCAAATTTTCTAAAAGTCAGTTTGATACCTTAACAATGACAATGCTAATATCATACTGAATGGGCAAAAGCTGGAAGCATTTCCCTTAAAAACTGGCACAAGACAAGGATGCCCTCTCTTACCACTCTTATTCAACATAGTCTTGGAAGTTCTGGCCAGGGCAATCAGGAAAGAGAAAGAAATAAATGGTATTCAAATAGGAAGAGAGGAAGTCAAATTGTCTTTGTCTGCATTTACATGATCCTATATCTAGAAAACACCATCAACTCAGCCCAAAAGTTTCTTAAGCTGATAAGAAACTTCAGCAAATTCTCTGGATACAAAATCAATGTGCAGAAATCACAAGCATTCCTATACACCAACCACAGACAAACAAAGAGCCAAATCATGAATGAAGTCCCATTCGCAATTGTCACAAAGAGAAGAAAATACCTAGGAATACAGCTAACAAGGGACATGAAGGACCTCTTCAAGGAGAACTACAAACTACTGCTTGACGAAATCAGAGAGGAAAGAAACCGATGGAAAAACATTTCATGCTCATGGCTCATGAATAAGAAGAATCAATATTATGAAACTGGCATTACTGCTCAAAACAATTTACAGATTCAATGCTATTCCTATTAAACTACCATTGACTTTCTTCACAGAATTGGAAAAAAAAAAAAGGCTATTTTAAAATTCACATGGAACCAAAAAAGAGCTTGTATAGCCAGGACAATTACAGACAAAAAGAACAAAGCTGGAGGCATCATGTTACTTGACTTCAAACTATACTACAAGGCTACAGTAACCAAAACAGCATGGTACTGGTACAAAAACAGGCACATAGACCATGAAACAGAATAGCTAACTCAGAAATAAAACCACACCTCAACAACCATCTGATTTTTGACAAACCTGACAAAAACAAGCAATGGAGAAAGGATTCCCTATTTAATAAATGGTGCTGGGAAAACTGGCTAGCCTTATGCAGAAAATAGAAACTGGACCCTTTCCTTACACCTTATACAAAAATTAACTCAAGATGGATTAAAGATTTAAATGCAAAACCCAAAACTATTAAAATCCTAGAAGAATATCTAGGCAATACCATTCTGGAAATAGGCATGGGCAAAAGATTTTATGATGAAATCACCAAAAGCAATTGCAACAAAAGCAAAAATTGAAAAATGGGATCTAATTAAACTAAAGAGCTTCTGCACAGCAGCAGGAACTATCATCAGAGCGAACAGGCAACCTACAGAATGGGAGAAAAATTTTGCAATCTATCCATCTGACAAAGGTCTAATATCTGGAATCTACAAAGAACTTAAATTTATAAGAGACAAAAACAAACAACTCCATTGAAAAGTAGGCAAAGGACATGAACAGACACTTCCCAAAAGAAGACATACATGCAATATACCACATAGACATACAACAGTGTAACTAACTCCCACGTTCTCACTTTTAAGTGGGAGCTGAACAATTTTGTTCAGCTGTGAGAACATGTGGTGTTTGGTTTTCTATTCCTGGACACAGGGATGGGAACAACACACACTGAGGCCTGTCAGGGGAGGGTGTGGCGGAGGAGAGCATCAGGAAAAATAGCTAATGCATGCTGGGCTTAATACCTATATGACGGGTTGATAGGTGTAGCAAACCACCTACGTAATCAGCCTGCACATCCTGCAAGTGTACCCTGGAACTTAAAATAAAATACAATGGCAATGCAACAGAAAAGTAAAATGTCAAATGATTGAGTTAAAATAGAGAATCTCTTTAACTAGAAAATTTTCACTTAGAAGGTTTTTATTAGAAAAAATGATGGATTTTTTCCAATTATTCGTATTTTACTTGCATGAAAATATATTTAAACGTAAGTAGCATTCATATAGAAGACAAGCATAACATAGTAAAAAGGGAAGGGGCTTTGGAATCAGAGAGCTGGATATAATTTCCAGTACCATCAGGCTCAACATATGTGATCTTTGGCAAATCAGATACTTTTCTGTGCCTCAGTTTTGTCATCTGTGAAAGGATGGCATAATACCTTCTTAGCTATATTCTTATATGTATATTATAGATACTGTCTGTAAAACCAGCATAACTAAACCAGAAAGTTCTACATAGATCACTTGAATTTTATAATTTATTCAGCTAAGTTTAAGTACACATCAAAGTTATAGTTTTTGTTTGTAATAGAAAATATGCATCTACATAATACACTGATAGATCAGTTTCCATAAAAGTTACCCTATGTATATTTCAATAAGAAAAATAAAAATTCTCAGTGATATCAGACACCATTTACCTTCTTACTTCCAAAGACTCTAAATTTTTACCAACTTTTTCTGTCATTATATCATGCATGAGGGACACAATGTTGATGATGTTTTAAAAATTATTTATTTCATACTTTTTATTTGAATTCTCAAAGACAACAAAATGTGTGTTCTTAGCTGGGTGCGATGGTGCACACCTGTAATCCCAGCACTTTGGGAGGCCAAGGCGAGTGGATCACCTGAGGTCAGGAGTTCAAGACCAGCCTGGCCAACATGGCGAAACCCCGTCTCTACTAAAAATACAAAAATTAACTGGGCAAGGTGGCAGGAGCCTGTAATCACAGCTACTCAGGAGGCTGAGGCAGGAGAATCACTTGAACTCAGGAGGCAGAGGTTGCAGTATGCTAAGATTGTGTCATTGCACTCCAGCCTGGGCTACAGAGCAAGACTCCACCTCAAAAACAAAACAAAACAAAACAAAAAAAGTGTGTTCTCTGGGGCTCATTTTCATATCCTGATTTTACTTTTTACGTTCACCCCCCAAAAAACGACCATGACTCATGATGCATGATGAATGCTGTATAGGATTTCAGCTTTTATCATATGTTTGCTGAGACCTGTTAGAATTTCTATACACTCTTGCGTAGTATTTCTTCCAATTAGTTGTATTTGTGGCTTTGGGGACTTTCTTTTATATTGCAGATGTTAAGTAAAGTAACCAGGAATTGTTTTCATGTAAATTATTGAGAGAACCCTATACCACCTTTTTCAAAGAAAAATGAAGAAATGAACTTTATATTATAATCTCATTTAAAATGTTCAAATATCCCCGTATGAATGAAAATCACCAGATAGTTACTTACTGCTACTAAAAAGTCACTTTCTAATTCTTATTACCACTATTATTATTATTATTATTATTATTGAGATGGAGTCTTGCCCCGTCACCCAGGCTGGAGTGCAATGGTTGATCTCGGCTCACTGCAACCTCCGCCTCCCAGGTTCAAGCGATTCTCCTGCCTCAGCCTCCCGACTAGCTGGGACTACAGGCACGTGCCACCATGCCCGGCTACTTTTTGTATCTTTAGGAGATACAGGGTTTCCCCATGTTTCCCAGGGTGATCTCAAACTCCTGACCTCATGATCCTTCCGCCTCAGCCTCCCAAAGTGCTAAGATTACAGGCATGAGCCACCGCGCCCTGCCTCTATTATTTTTTTTGTCTGTGGCCAATTAGCTGAGTTGCTTGAATCAACATGCTAATAATGAATTCTGATTATCTGTTCAATCCTTGTCTAGACCTGCTAAACTTAGTTCAATACTGCATTAATCCACATCACTATCCCCAACCAACTGCTGTCCAAAGAAGTGCCAGTTATACTTTTCTCCACTAAGGTAAAATAAAAATTAAAGAAAAATAGCATCATTGTGTTTTGATTTACATAATGAAGTGGCTAAATGTATATCTACTTACATGTATACTTCAAACCCAGGGTATAGTGCATGCTTCCAGGTAATAGAAATTTGGATCAGACAGATAGCAATTGTTCAGTAGGCATATATGGCTACTGGCTACTTACATTGGAGAGACAGAACTAAATCTTTGCCCTAATAACCCAAAAAGAAGAAGATTATAGCCCCATCAGATAAACTGTGTATAGAATGAGGAAAATGCAATGTGCTAGGCAAAATTGGTGACTCTTGATAACTTACTGAGTGAGTGAGAAGGGAGAATCAAAGCACTTATCTCATTTGTTGACTTCAAGGAAATATTGTTGGAAAAGGAGAATCAGTAGAAAAATATCACATGGTTTTGAAGACAAGAAAAAACATATTAGATATTCCACACAAGCAACTACTATATCTTATAGGAAAAGGAAGTCACCCATATATGTAGAAGATACATGGAAAAAATAGATTTCTTTTAATGCTAATTTGAAAAATGATTTCTTAATGCAGAACAATCAAATATCTCTGTAATCTTTATCCAAAGCTTACATTTCATTCATATCAATTATTGCTTTTGGAAAATATGTCTCCTTGGAGAGCTTTATATAACTGCCATTTTTTTCACAATAGCAGACGAAGATATAAATCATCCAATTAGTAGTTTACATTGATCTAGTTTCACATAGCAAATGTCAAAAGAAAAGCCAGTCCCATAACAGCTTCCATGAAACAAAATCACACAAAATGCCAAGTAGCCAATTGAAAGATACAGATATTTCTTCATTTAATATCTTTAAATAGATTTTTTAATGTGCACATTTTGCTTTTATGAAAAGTTATTTATGAAATAACAGCAGTGAAAAATATTGTGACAATCTATTAGAGTAGAAAGGGCATGGTCTTTGGAATCGAAGTGAGCTGGGTTTAACTTCAGCATTATCATAGTCTACCTGGGCGTGTTATTTAACTTTTTCTGCTTAAATTTCTCCATCTGCAAAAAGATGATATATGTCTATTCAGAAGGATCCTCACATAAATTAGAGATAACACATGTCGACTATCTAATGTATGTAAAAGTTGAGTGAATATAAAGTGTCTATATTTAATAGGCTTTCAAAATATTGTAATAGTTATTCACATAGATAATGAGTTCTGATTCTGTGTAACTTTTTTATATAAGAAAAAATATAAGTGTAACCTCAAAAGAAAAACTTAACGAACCTTCTCATAGATAATTTGAGGGTTTTATTCATCTCCAACTAAATTCAAAAGTACATTAGTGTGATTGTTTTCATTAGTACTAAACAAATACACATCTTGGCATTCCGGGGAAGAGTCAATTTTTATACAAGCTGTCCCCAGAGTAATTTCAGTGGGATGGAAAAAATATTGCAGTGCAATCAGCTGTAATCTGTATCTTTTCTTCTAAAGAACCAAAGTTCTTCACCACTATTATTGGCAAAGTCATTATGCAAAAGTGAGAGAAAATCGAAGGTGCTCTTTTAAATCCTACTCATTTTCTGTTTTTTTTTTCTTTCCTTTAGGTTCTCAAAGAAATACAAAGAAGTTTCTCTGTACTTTATCTCTACAGTACGAAAGTATTTTATTCTTCATCTTTCCCCTGAAATATCCACGTAACTGTTTCTATAGCTATTGAACTCTGAGTCCATTACTGTTCTTTGTGGGGCCACACCTGAAGTATTTGTAATTATCTTACTAAAATCCACTAGATCACCATTAATCAAACTATTCGTGATAGACAACCACTTTTAAAAATCCCAATCCATCACAGTCCAAAACATTTTAAAAAGTTAAATGAATTACTAGAAAAAGTAAACAATAAAAATCTATAAAATAAAGCCCAAGATTTTTCATTTTTTATATCCAACAAGGCATATTAAATGGTAATATAATCACAACCAACATTACATAGAGAAATAATTAAATATCTATATGTCATTTATTGCAAATGTGAGTAGTCAATTAATATAGAAAATATACACCAACTTTTTGTCATTATGCAGTTGAAACTAAATAAAAATTTATGAGGGAGATGATGATTCTCCACATTAAAAGCCTGCAAACACTGAGTAAATATTAACAGCAAATATTAATGAGACAAATAAACTCACTTATTAACTGATTTAATCTAGTTTGCGTTGGCAATACTGCTATCCACAGACAATAATGTATACCGAAACTGTTTCAGTACTTTGTTTGATAACAGTACAAAACCAGTCTCGCAGTCCTGTGTTGAGAATAGAAACGGTTTTAAAGCAATTTCAATAAGCTCATATGAATCTCTTAAACTTTCCTTCAAAATGTAGCAATTGATGCTCCATTTTTAAAATTCATTTTTAATATTTTATCACTAGTTGTATTTTCAACAATTAACCTTGTCAAATTAGTTAAATTTAAGTTTTTTGATGAAATAAATAGATTAATTATAAAATTCCTATACATACATCTTCTCTTGGTGAAAATGAAACTCAAAATGATCTATCAATCTTTTTAAGGGTTTGGTGATTATCTTCTCACAGATGTGCGATGTCAAGATCACCTATATCATTAATAATTATTCTTTTTTTGAACTTTTATTTCAGGTTCAGAGGTACATATTCTGGTTTGTTCTATAGGTAAACTCGTGTCACAGGCGTTTGTTGTACAGATGATTTAATCACCCAGGTACTAAGGCTAGTACCCACTAGTTATTTTTTCTGATTCTCTCCCTCCTCCCACCCTTCACCCTCAAGTAGGCTCCAGTGTCTATTTTTCCCATCTTTGTGTTCACGAGTTCTCATCATTTAGCTCCCACTTATAAGTGAGAACATGCGGTATTTTGTTTTCTGCTTCTGCACTAGTTTGCTAGGGATAACAGCCTCCAGCTTCATCCACGTTCCCTCAAAAGACATGAGCTCATTATTTTTTATAGCTGTATAGTATTCCATGGTGTACATGTACCACATTTCTTTATCCAGTCTGTCATTTGTGGGCATTTGTGTTGATTCCACGTCTTTACTATTGTGAATAGTGCTGCAACGAACATGAACATGAACCTGCATGTGTCTTTATGGTAGGTTGATTTATATTCCTCTGGGTATATGTGTAATAATGGGATTGATGGATGGAATGGCAGTTCTGTGTTCAGCTTTTTGTGGAATTGCCATACCGCTTTCCACCATGGTTGAACTAATTTACACTCCCACCAACAGTGTGTAACTATTCCCTTTTTCTCTACAACCTCGCCAGCAATTTTTTTTGACTTTTTAAGAATAGCCACTCTGACTGCTGTGAGATGATATGTCATTGTGGCTTTGATTTGCATTTTTCTAACAATCGGTGATATTGAGGTTTTTTTTCACATGCTTGTTGGATACATGTATGTCTTCTTTCAATAAGTGTCTTTTCATTTCTTTTGCCCCTTTTTAACGGGGTTGCTTTTCTCTTGTAAATTTGTGTAAGTTCCTAAGAGATGCTGGATATACTCAAAAGAAAGGAAGTCAATATACTGAAGAGATATCTGCACTCCCTTGTATACTGCAGCACTATTCACAATACCCAAGATTTGGAAACAACCTAAGTGTCTGTCAGCAGATGAATAGGTAAGAAAATATGGTACCTATACACAATGGAGAACTATTCAGCCTTAGAGAAAATGAGATTTTGTCTTCTATGACAACATGGATGAAACTGGAGGTCCTTATGTTAAGTGAAATAAGCCAGGTACAGAAAGACAAACGGTTGCATGTTCCCACTTATTTGTGGGAAATAAAAATTAAAACAGTTGAACTCATGAAGATAGAGTAGAAGATGAAGGATGGGTATCAGAGGCTGCGAAGGGTAGTTGTGGAGGAAGATGGTTAATGGGTAGAAAAATATAACTAGATCAAATGAATAAGATCTAGCATTTGACAGCACAACAGGGTGACTACAGTCAACAATAATTTGTTGTATATTTTGAAATTACTAAAAGAGTATAATTGGATTGTTTATAACACAAATAATGAATACATGCTTGAGGTGATGGATACCCCGATGTGATTTTTTTTTTTTTTTTTTTAGATGGAGTTTCACTCTTGTCACCCAGGCTGGAGTGCGATGGCGCAATCTCAGCTCACTGCAACCTCCACCTCCCGGGTTCAAGTGATTCTCCTGCCTCAGCCTCCCGAGTAGCTGGGATTACAGGTGCCCACGACCACGCCCAGCTAATTTTGTATTTTTAGTGGAGATGGGGATTCACTATGTTGGCCAGGCTGGTCTGGAACTCCTGACCTCAGGTGATCCACTCACCTCGGCCTCCCAAAGTGCTGGGATTATGGGCGTGAGCCACCACGCCCTGCCCCTGACGTGATTATTATGTATTGCATGCCTTCACCAAAGTATCTCATGTGCCCCATAATATATATACCTACTATGTACCTGTAAAAATTAAAAATAACCATTTTTCCAAAATGTATACTAATTATTTTTCCAACTTTTTAGATTCAGAGAGTACATGTGCAGGTTTGTTACCTGGGTATATTGCATGATGCTGAGGTTTGAGGTACAAATGATCCTGTCACCCAGATACTGAGCAGAGTAACCAATAGTTCCTCAAACTTTTCCCTCTAGTAGTCCGCAGTGTCTATTGTTGCCATATTTATGTCCATGAGTACTCAATGTTTAGCTTCCACTTATAAATGAAAGCATGTGGTATTTAATTTTTGTTCCTGCATTAATTCACTCAGGATAATGGCCTCCAGCTGCATCCACATGGCTGAAGAGGACATAATTTTGTTCTATTCTATGGCTGCATAGTATTCCATGGTGTATATGTACACTTCCTTTGTCCAATCCACCATTGATGGATACCTAGATTGATTCCAGGTTTTTCTACTTGTGAATAATGCTGCAATAAAGATACAGGTGCATGTGTCTTTTTGGTTGAGTGATTTATTTTCTTTTGGATATATACCCAGTAATAGGATAGCTGGATCAAACGGTAGTTCTAAGTTTCCTGAGAAATCTCCAAACTGCTTTCCAGAGTGTATGAACTAATTTACTAATTCTTGACAAAAGCGTAAAGTGAACTTGTTTCACCATATAAAAATTAGGGTGAAAAAATAATAAAAATACTTTCGTAACTTATGAATACTATAAAATACTTTCCTAACTCATGAATACTATAAAACTATAATGTTATATAAACTATATATATGACTACATACCTAAAACTATAAATGTTAAAAAGTTTGATAAAAATGATGTTTATAAAAACAACTTGTACACACAATTATATGCTTAAGCTATTTTATAGTTTTGGGTTTAACAGATTAAACTGTCACATGGGTAGTTATATCAGACACAATGTACCCCGCAAGATGGACAACATTTACACTGATTTGTTTCATATTCACTGAGACAAGTTTCCTGATTACACACTTTGAAGGTTGTAGTTAGGCTCACTACAAAAGTTTTTAAAACACTTTCAATTTTTGTGTCATCTTGTCATGGCCCAGTAACAAATTGTTCATAGACTTGCACCAAACCACAGACCACACTAAAAGTCCTACATGATCTGTATATAGTTTTTTTTTTTTTTTTGCATTTGACTTCATTTGTGTGAAAGATAGAGAACCCCCAGGTGGTATCTGATGTAGTAAAATAAACGTAACTCACATGTATGATATTTTTAGATTTAGATAAATTCATTCTATATTAGATTAAAAGTAGGTAGGAAACTGACATTTGCTTCTCCATTCAAGATTCTTGCATGTGATGGCATATCTGAGTTTGCTGGACCACTCTGTTAACATGCCAACTTGTTTTAGCAATTCATGTTCATGTTTTTTATTCAGAATATCCTCTTTAAATACACATTTATAAGCATTATGATGTCCCAATTCTGCATTTTGCTCTTTGTTATTTGCTCTTTCTGCTGACTTTCTCACATACTGTATTGATTCTTCAATCGACCGGTAATTTTTGTTTGTAAGCCCCTATTCAGCTGATCTTATTCAATGAAAATCCCAAAGTATCTAAGTTGAACTTGAGCTTTTGTAGATAATATTTACATGAGCTTCTTTCAGATTTCTAAGGTAGTGCTCTCTCTGTCTTCAGTGTTTACAGTAGACAAAATAAAAGCCCATCCATCCCCCAAATATGCCCAAGTCTCACTTCCTAAAACCTGTGTATATGTTACTCTATATAGCAAAGGGATATTGCAGGTGGGGTTAATCTAAGAATCTTAGGTTATCCAGTTAGGACCAATGTAATCAAAAGGGCCCTTACGCAGGGAGGCAGTAAAGTCATAGTAAGGAAAGTAGATGTCATTATAGAAATGGCGTAAAAGAGAGAGAAAGTTTTGAACTGTTACAGGCTGCCCTTGAAGATGGAGGAGACTCTATAAGCCAAAGAATGCAAAAAGCCTTCAGGAACTAGAAAAGGCAAGGAGCAAGATTCTCACCTACAGCTTCCGGGAAAAAAAAAAAATCACCTTTTGACACCTTGATTTTAAGACTTCTGATCTTCAATAAGATAGTATTCAGTGTTTTATTCTGCTAAGTTTGTGGTTACAGCACATTGTTCCACTAAGTTTGTTACAGCAGCAATAGAAAACTGGGGCAATATGCATGCAAATCACCTCAGATCTTGTTTAAAAATGTAATTTGATAGTATGCCTGGAGAAGAGTGACAGGGTCTGTATTTCTAACAAGCTCTTGATGGTGCACATACTGCTACATGTTTGTGGATCCAACTTTTAGCATCAGAAAGTAGGACAATATTATCTTGAGAAGGCATTAAATAAAATTTGCTACTTGAGTTTTCACAGAATATACGGGTCATTAAAATTCAAATCTCAAACACCATGCGAAGACTTTTTTTTTTTTTTTTTTAAAGCGCTATTCATGTAGATGAGCTCCCTAACTTTATGAAGGGATTTCATCTCACTTCTCTTCTGGTATAAACTGAATGACTTGCCTTTGTCTCCTGAAGAAGATTTAAAACTCAAGGCACTAAGTTTATGGTATATGCAAACACAATGCCATGCATATACCATGAGTATCTCCTCAATGATATCTGTGTGCTTTTTGGTAATTCTTGCCAGTATGAACAATTAATTGCTAATTTAAACTTTTGGGTCCTAAGTAACAGTAATAATTTTGAAAAGTAAAAGTCAATATCAAAGAGATTAAGGGGTTGATATAATGTGCATATGGACTCCTTTATATGTTTGAATTAAAGAAAGGAAGTTGGGGATAAATAGTGAAATCTACATTTTCCATTAATTTCAGTCACTAATTTAAGTCTCTTGTAGATGCACTAAACCATGAACCATATATATACATATTTAATTATATTAATATATTTAATATTATTTAACATATGTTTATATATTAATTAGTTCATTACTATCCTTACTTTATAAAATTTGTGTATATATACATCTAAATATATATATATATAAGTTCATTTGATCTTCCAAACAACTTTATGGAGTAAGAATTATCCTAATGTTAGAGATTAGAAAACTCAGACTCAGACACACATACACACACACAGAAAAGACTTCCAGAAAGTCCTCCTAGATACGTAGTAGAAACTTATACATTTAAGAATAACTTTAATATTTACTACCTGGTTGAGCCAAGATCAGAAGGAAACAATACCCTACAACTTGAAAGAGGAAGAGTCAGGAGTGTAATCCAGGACTTTCTTATTACCAAGCCTGTGCTCTTTGCTTTGTTCTATGTTGATTCTAAAGTTATCCAAAGATAGAGATTTGCAACTGACTTTCAGTACTGTGTAGAATTCTACTACAAGATTACTTATTCAGTGACATAGTCTCTTTCATCTACATAGTAACAGAAGAACATAGCTACACAAGCCACTGATTGTTCTTATTACATATTATTGAGTCACACATTTCTAACCTAAGCTCCTCAACATACTCAATTTCTAATTACTCCAAAGGGCCTTACCTTTCTCCTAACTGCATCAATCTCAGCAGATCACTTTACATCCAGAAGATTTAAATCATTAAGCATAACATTCTTTGATTTCTACTACCTCATATTACGTATTTTTTACATCAAAAACATTTCCCATGCCTCCAATTTCAAAGGATCAGGTATCACATTCTTTTCAAAGCTAAACCTTCCACAGGTGCTCTTAACCCCACCTTCTGTTCCCCAGAGATTGAGTTCTATTGATTACTACTGTATCTCTTTCATCTGAAATTTCTCCCTCTAACTACTTTTCCTTTGTTAACATGCTTATAGCTCTCTCACCCTAAAAATTAAATCCTTCTTGTCCTATGCCATATGCCCTGGAAGATAATATTTTATCTCTTTCTCTTTTCATTTAAACTTTACAAAGAACAACATACCCTAGAGGTCTCTGTCATCTCACCTGACATTTTCTTCCCAACTCATGATAGTTTAGTTCCTATTCTAGAAAAAGAACTAAAAATGTTTTAATAGAATTGAATTGCCAAATTCAATGGATGTTTCTTCATGCTTCATATTAAAACAGTGTTCTCTAATATTTAGCATCACTGATCACTCCATACTTGAGGAAATATCTAATTTCCTCTCATGGCTATTTCTACAGTTTTCTTATAAATTATTAAATATTAGAGTTCCCTAGATTTCTGTCCTTGAGTTTATGCTTTTATCATTCATCATACTTTGTTTAGGTAATCACTTCCACTCTCATAATTTTGACTTGCTCTTGAATGCTGATGACTCAGTAATTTGCATCTCCTATCTGTCCTCTCTCCATCAAACTTTAGTTATGTTATATCATTGCCTGATGGCCAATTACCTCTGAATGCTCTACAAATGTTTCCCATTATCCAGATTTAAACTGGAATTGATTTTATTTTCCTACTTGCTCCTACTTCATGTATTATATCAGTCAATGATTCTACATCTTAGAATCATCCTTGACATTATTCTTAATGTCTACAATTAATTAAGCAATGATCTGTATCAGTTAGAATTCAATCAGGATAAATAAATTACACATTAATTTTAAATGGTAAAATTAAACATAAAGAATTATCAATTATATCAGAAGAATAAAAGGTAAGGATAATTCTTTAAAAAATACCGTAGGTCTGAAAGAGAGTATCCAAAGAAGAGACAAACTTGGAAGTGGAATTTTCTTCCCAATATTGTGTTTCAGACCTTAATGGAGTAGATATGGTGGCAGCTCACCAGATGATGGAGTAATTCTCTGGGTTGAACTTGGCCAAAGTTGGTTTACAGTTGCCAGGCAAGCAGAAAATGCCTGTTCAGGGTATAGATTGGTAAAAATTGTGGCTGGGATTTTCAAGTGGGTGACAATACTATGGGGCAGAGGTGACAAAGCCTTGTGGAAAGGTCCACAGAGAAAGTCCACACCCAGGGGTTTCTAAATGGCTGAGTGTTGTGGGGCTCTGTCTGTGTCAGGGGCTTCTTGATACACCTGTGGGATGCAGGTAGACTAGGGCATATTAATAAGTGCATAGAGGGAATTAAGGAATGAGGATCCTGTTCACAGAATGAACAGCAAAAGGCCTGGGGTGTACTACGTCCCTCCTAAGAGAACTGTGATGAGGTGGTAACCAGGCCAGAAATGAGGCTGCCAACTTACCGAGGAACAGCATAATATGGATTGTATCTGTATAGCAGGAGGAAGAAAAGGTCCCAAGAAGCACACACAAACCAGTAGGGGAAATATTTTCCTTTCTATAACAGAAGATATCTTCCAGCTGTAAAGAAGAACTGTTTTACAGTGTCCATTTTTATTATCACAGAGCAGGTAATAGACAATAAATTTGGAGCTGAGAGGTAATACCTCTGTACTTGCAAATTGCTGTCAAATACATATTATGTTAAGCATAATTTATATTGAATTTGTATATACAAATTCATGATACAAATACATAATTTGTATTGAATTTGTATATAAATTCCCTTTCCTCTATTACTGTCATCTTTAAACTTCTGCCACCATCCCAATTTAGAATGTATGTTCTGTAGATTCAGTGAAATGACCTATCTAAATGGGAACTCTGAGTCTTCCTAAAAGTCTTTCAAAATGACTTATTATTCATAAACTCCAAAATTATTTATCTATCAAATGAGTTAGGCTTTGTATAATTTTCTGGCCCAATTTCTTAGCACTCACCAGGTACAGTTGTCAAAAACAATGCAAAAAATAAAGAAATAAAATCTCAGTAGCATATAGTAAGGATTGTTTTTCCTCGAGTGTTTGTGGGTTGGCTGGTGATTAGGGTGGGCAAAGCTACGTGGCTTTAAAGAGCTGTTTGGAGCAAGTTCTACTCCAAAAGTGTATTTCAACAGCAGGCTAGAGGGTGTACATTTTCCTCACGTTAAGAGCAAAGATGCAAGGAAAACACCAAACTGTATAAACTCATTTTTTTAAGACCCTGTGTCCATCTTCTGGCATCTTTGACCTAAACAGTTCTCATGCTGAATCTACAATCACAGGGCTGGGTGGCATAAGCCTCCTATGAATGTGGTAGGGAGAAGGAGAACATATTTTTGAAAGGTATACTACCTCTTACATTACTTAATGCCATCTCTAGTCTACTAAAATGATAGTCATGTAAGCTGCATTCCCATATCATACTAATGTGCCTCTAAAGCAAGCAAAAACACTTGGGATTATAGTTAGTGTGTGCAAACTTGTCATGGCTAAGTGTATAATTTGTTAGGATTTCTGAAGTGGTGAAAATACCAGAAGTACCTTACAGAGCTTTCAATCATTTCAAGTTCTCTATTGATCTCAGGTCAAGGACTTCGGTGATAAAAAGTGTCAGTCAAGTTTATTCTTGCACAGAATCCTGTTGCCCATTGGAAAAAAATATTTTTCTTAAGACTTTACATCTGTTGGCATGTTTCTCACGTTCCTCGCACCAACCAAATGTCGTGTTCCTACTTTCTCTTTTGGTTCCACATCTCTAGCTAAAGCTTCTCAGTAATGCCCTCAGAATCAGGTGTTTACATTGCAGTTCTTTGTCACTCTTTCCTCTCCATTTTTCCACTGTTAGTCATGGGTCCATGTGCTTCATAGTCCACCTTAAACATTTTGAATGGTTACACATTCGTACTTTAAGACTAAGATCAGGGACTTAATTATCACAAAATATTCATACCAAGTGTGCTACCTTCTGGCTAATTACTGCTTATTAATAGCTACTGAAAAGAATTGTCCTTGCATAAGAAACTTAGAAGAACAGATGCTTAAAATATTAAACAGGACTTGAAATGTTGGATGAAATATTAATTGGCCATTTTACACAAAATATAATTTAGCCAGAAAAGATGAAGAGGAGCAAATGGAAAGAAAGATGAAAAAGCATGAAAGAGAGTACACTATCCTGACCCCTACCATGTCAGAACAAAAGGGGTTAGAACGACACTTTCTAGCAGGAGTACAGAGATAAAAGATGAACACTTATTACTACACAGGTGTTCATTTGTCAAGAATCCTCTTTGGTGACAGAAATCTGTATCACTTTGTTTTTCAGCGAGCTACAATTTATCCTAAGGAGTTCTCATTCCATATTCTCATGCATCTCTTCTCTGAAAAAAAGAATTCTTTCTATTTGGTCTGGCTCCAAGAAAACTGCAACAATGTTAAATGGCGGTTCCTAAAAAATGGTAGAGAGACTAATTCAAACTGTAGTTCCTAGGGCCAGAACAGACATTAGATAAATAGGGACAATGAAGATTCATAATAATTATCTTTGTTAGCTGAATCTCTTAGCATCTACTGTATAAAGAGCAATGAGAAAAGAAATAACATCCTCCTTTAGTGTTTAGATTATATTTTAATATACAAGAGAAGAGTTTTCATTGGGTCTTAATCGTTTTATGAAATATGCTCCTTTTCTTTAGTACTCAATGGACAGAAATACTAGGAAGGCTTCAGAACTGGTTGACCCACTCAATCTCCCCTTCAACTCATCTACTAGTTTAGGATCTTGGAAGTCAAAGACCGCCACAGAACCAACCCAGTGCATTTTATTCTCAGGTAAATTCTGCATAATAACAATGTTTGCTTGGATCCCTTACAAACACAAATACTTAAAAAATAATTTATCAAAATACATAGAGTTGCTTTATATAGCAACAAATCTCCTCCTGTAATTTAATATAAAATGGGAATAGGAGATGTAAAACTCAAGTTAATCTGCTGTATAATGCAATTTCAGGATATATACATATATATATATATACACGCACACATACACATACATACACATCTTTTTTAGATGTAAATATTATGTAGAAGTATATAGTCATAATTTAATTATAAAGAGTTTCTTTGTGTTATCTAGTTTGAATTTCTTAATTAAATATTTCATTAGCAGACATTGAGCAGTTTTGTAATATAACCAAATACGTTTCATTTAACTAAAATCATACACTCTCAGTACGATCTGGGTTTCAGAAGAAAAGAATGTCATAATGAATGCTGACCGTGTTAAGTCCCACCAAGATTTTAAAAAATGATAGGATCATGGAAATACTGAGTCCACTGAGTAAAATAAATGTATTATTTTTCGGACGGTGGGAAGGTGTATGTTATAATCCAAATAATGCTGGTAAATTCTCATATTTGTTCTAGGTAGCTATGGTATTTATATCCTTTAATAAAATTATTATTCAATTTAGATTACAGTTTATTAAATATTTATTAAGAAAGTGAATAAAATATATACACTAGTATGTTACACAACCCCAACCTCATTTAAGAAAGACAGAAATTTGGTAGTTTTATTTGCAATTTTTGCATCTCAGTTTTATAAATTTGTCTCCTTGCTAGTAACTCTCCTTGAATTATGTGTTTCTGTTTATGAAAAGGATGACCTGGGGTACGAAAGGCTCCAGGCAAATTTTTTAGTACTTGTGTTAATACCCTTAAGAAATAAGCATGAGCTTTGGATTTTCCTGTGAGAAGTCCATGTCGCTACTAATTAACTCAGATGAAACTAAGAATATCCCTGAAAAACATAGCCTCTAACCTCAGATGCCAGACATCCTCATTCTTCTGGCTATTATATTCATACATAAAACATACGAAATTGCCAAGTTTATTCGAGAACAGTACAGAAGACTTCTGGGTACAATAAAAAAAGCATATGATAAGCACAAAACTTTTTATAGCAACTTGAAAAGGTTAAATAAAAATGCATACAAAATGGTTAGCCAAACCACCAATACTTATTGTGCTTCTTTTTATCCAACACTAAGATGTGAAAACATACCAAATACATTATGTCTAGAAACAATCTTTACTCTCAAGAAGCTTAAAATCTGGTAGGTGAAGCCTGCAATAATAAGCACAATGACATCGATTAACTACTGCAGCCTTAATCGTACTTAAGTGTACCTTCACCAGCTTCTGCTTCCAGTTGAGCATAGAAGAAAAAGGTAAATCCTACAATATGAAAGGATCAAAATGACAATCAAAAATCTGTCATTGTAATTCACCGCCTGAATAAAAATGCAGGACAAAGATGTAGACAAAGGAACAGAAGACAGCTTTCTTAATCTGACACAGGATATCCAGCAAAGACTTTAATTAACATTATACTTGATAGTGAGGTATTGAAGAGTACCTGCCCCCAGGCGTCTTTTTCACTATACCACTTTCAAAGAATTTTCTGTCTCAGGTTCAGCTTCTACAAAATTCAACCTCTAACAGATATAAATAAATCAATTTAGAATTTTTCTTAAAATATTGAAAAACAATCATAATGATATAAGAAATAAAAATAGATATCAAAATTAAATAAAAAGGAATAAATACGTGAATATACATAAATCCAAACTAGGCTTTAGGAAAGATAAAGGAATAGTCTTCATGAACCCAGTTAATTTAAACAGATTAAAAAAAAAAACAAGATAAGGAATAAAAACTATTTTTTGTTTCTTATACTGTTATTATACATAAGAGACATAAAAATAAATAAAAACACCACCTGCAAATCTATGACAAAAAAATTAAATCTAGAGTAAATTATTTCTAAGCAAAATTTATAACATTTTAATAATCTTAGAATAATTAAATATTTCCACATAAAAGTAGTTGCAAAGGTGATTCAGCCATTCAAAAAGTTATCAGAATCAGACGGTTGTACAGTTGAGTTATGTTAAAGAACCAGTAAGTCCATTATTATTTAAAATTTTCTAGAAAATGTATACTGTATAAATAACATTCTAATATTAGAAATAATATTTTAAGAATATTCTAGAAAAGGTTTAGAAAAAGATCGAAACCTCTTTTATTAGGCTAATATACATTTATTACCAAGTTCTGTCACAAGTATTACAAAAAAAGAAAATAGATCAATCTCTTGTTGTATTGTAAAATCTAGAATTTCAAGTCTGTCCTTGATATCTTTTAGCCTCATGGGGTCCCCAGAGGCCTGATCAGGAGTATCCCTGCTCTACCCACATAGGGTTCCCACTCAGCTGGAAACGTGCCTCCTCTGACCAGTTTTCTTATCAGCCACACCAGC
This sequence comes from Homo sapiens, assembly GCF_000001405.40. Classification (NCBI taxonomy): domain Eukaryota; kingdom Metazoa; phylum Chordata; class Mammalia; order Primates; family Hominidae; genus Homo; species Homo sapiens. The sequence continues at coordinate 116,057,655 of NC_000002.12, read as the reverse complement.
TGCAATCTCTTGATTTTCACCTTCTTGCCAGTCCATGAAATTTTTCCAACAAACCAATCTCATAGCTTTCATGGAACCAGGGGCCTCCTGACCCTCTGGTTACTACAAAGCCTGCCTCCAGAGTCCCTGTTGGTTAACTTACCCTGCCCTCCACCACCCAGATGGAACCATTGCTTGGCCCTGCATGCTGTGTGGTAGTCCCTTCCCCCAGGCTGTGAGTATATGTAACTAGTGAACTGCCACCCAAGCTCATCTGTCTAGTGTTGGGTATCATATATCAGCCATCTCTTACTATTTAGAGAATGGGATTCCTTTTTTGCCAACAGGATCAACAAGAGGTGTGTAGAACACTTATGAATATGGTTGCAAAATATGTAAGAAAATATATGCAATGTCATTCAGTAAAGTATTAAATAACAGTATATCATGACCAGTGTAGATTTATGTGAGTAATGCAAGGGAGGTTTAGTGTAAGGAAATCCATTAATCTATTAGAGTATCTAAACATAGAATAAGAAACCTCAGAAGTGCATCATTGGATACTAATAAGATATTTCATATATGAAGTGGTAAGATTTAATGTGTTTTAAGAATTCAAGGTAGCTAAATAAATACAAAAATTATTTTCCAAAGCCAAACGTATGTTTATAATAGAAGAGCATAAATATCATTAGAATTAAAATCTGTAATCTCGTAAAGAAGTCTGCTACTTTTATAACTCTATTTCAGAGGCTCCACAAAATGCAATAGAAACAAAAATAATAGAAACAAAAATAATAATAGAAACAAAAATAATTGGAACAAACATTAAAACAGAGATAAAACTATTCCATTTTGCTAATGATATGTTGCATGTTTATAAAGTACAGGACACTCTAGTGAAATGGAAAGAGCCATTTTTGATATATATGAATTTTTAAAATATTTAGTAATCTGTATAACTCTTTGGTAACACATTTTTTGAGAATTAGACAAAGGGTTAACTTTCTAAGAAAATATAACTTAAATGTTAGAATAAATGGAAACCTAAATAATCTGAAAAACACTGTAGAAACTGAAAAGGTAGTCCTGATATACATCATTGAAAAAAAATTGACAACAGATGATTTGGGGAAATTTCTACCATATCTTTAATAAACTGTTCATTCTTAAATAAATATTTGCAGAGAACAAACACAAAAACCAGTTCTCAATCTATACTACAAGTCTAGAAATATTGTGAGATCAGGACTAGCCACATTGAGAGAAAAAATAAGTACCGTACAAATACTGCAAAAGTAATACTTAAAAGTTTAACAATTGAATGAGCAGTTTATTAGAGAATGTAAAAAAAAGATGCACACAGAAAACAAATATTCAGGAATGGTAAAAACAAGAAACTATTTTATTTGATATAAAGTTCTATTATAATTTTAAAATAATTGAAATGTATGTTGGTAAAAATATTTCAATAGAAAAGATGTATTAAGAGACAGACATATATGTAAAAAATATATGGAATTTTAGTATATAATTACTTGATTTTTAATTCAATAAAGAATGTATATCTAATATATAACAATTTACTTGAAAAATATCATGTTTATAACTCGAAATGTTGACAAATAAATTAATGACATAAAACCTTTAAAAACTATGTATTAAGAAAAATGTAGGAAAGATATTATTCCAAATTTGGAAACTGTAAGGAAAAATCATATATTTAACTATGTAAGCATTGGCAATCCCATGTAGGAAGGGTGCCAGGTTAAAATCAAGTGACAGATTGCAGAAGATTCTTTGCAATATATTTATATCAAAGGTCCCATAATACACAAAAAGTATTATTATAAATCAAGAAAAAAATACAATCAAGTAGGCTTTATCCCTGGGATTTAAGGTTGGTTCAACATATTCAAATCAATAAATGTGATTTGTCACATAAACAGAACTAAAGACAAAATCCACATGATTATCTCAACAGATGCAGAAAAGGCTTTTGATAAAATTCAACATCCTTTCATGTTAAAAACTCTAGATAAACTTGGTACTGAAGGAATATACCTCAAAATAATAAAAGCAACCTATTACAAACCCACAGCCAACAGCATACTGAATGAGCAAAAGCTGGAAGCATTCCTTTGGAAAACCAGCACAAGGCAAAGATGCCTTCTGACACCACTTCTATTCAACATTGGAAGTCCTGGCTAGAGCAATCAGTCACGACAAAGAAATAAAGGACATTCAATTAGGAAGAGAGGAAGTCAAACTATCCCTGTTAGCAGATGACATGATTCTATATCTAGAAAACTCCACAGTCTCAGCCCAAAAGCTCCTTAAGCTGATAAACAACTTCAGTGAATTCTCAGAATATAAAACCAACATACAAAACTCATTAACATATCTACACATCAACAACAGTCAAGCCAAGAGCCAAATCAGAAATTCAGTCTTATTCATAACTGCCACAAAAAGAATAAAATATCTAGGGATATAGCTAATCAGGGAGGTGAAAGATCTCTTACGAGAACTACAAAACACCACTCGAAATCAGAGAGGACACAAACAAATAGAAAAGCATTCCATGTTCATGGAAAGGTGAGTCAATATAGTTAAAATGGCCAAACTGCCCAAAGCAATTTATAGAGTCAATGTTATTTCCATCAAACTACCAATAATATTCTTTACAGAACTAGAAAAAACTATTTTGGGGAGGAGCCAAGATGGCCGAATAGGAACAGCTCCAGTCTACAGCTCCCAGTGTGAGAGACGCAGAAGACGGGTGATTTCTGCATTTCCATCTGAGGTACCAGGTGCATCTCACTAGGGAGTGCCAGACAGTGGGTGCAGGCCAGTGGGTGCGCGCACCGTGCGCGAGCCGAAGCAGGGCGAGGCATTGCCTCACTTGGGAAGCGCAAGGGGTCAGGGAGTTCCCTTTCCAAGTCAAACAAAGGGGTGACGGACGCACCTGGAAAATCGGGTCACTCCCACCCGAATATTGCGCTTTTCAGACCGGCTTAAAAAACGGCGCACCACGAGACTATATCCCACACCTGGCTCAGAGGGTCCTACGCCCACGGAATCTCGCTGATTGCTAGCACAGCAGTCTGAGATCAAACTGCAAGGCGGCAGCGAGGCTGGGGGAGGGGCGCCCACCATTGCCCAGGCTTGCTTAGCTAAACAAAGCAGCCGGGAAGCTCGAACTGGGTGGAGCCCACCACAGCTCAAGGAGGCCTGCCTGCCTCTGTAGGCTCCACCTCTGGGGGCAGGGCACAGACAAACAAAAAGACAGCAGTAACCTCTGCAGACTTAAATGTCCCTGTCTGACAGCTTTGAAGAGAGCAGTGGTTCTCCCAGCACGCAGCTGGAGATCTGAGAACGGGCAGACTGCCTCCTCAAGTGGGTCCCTGACCCCTGACCCCCGAGCAGCCTAACTGGGAGGCACCCCCCCAGCAGGGGCACACTGACACCTCACACAGCAGGGTATTCCAACAGACCTGCAGCTGAGGGTCCTGTCTGTTAGAAGGAAAACTAACAAACAGAAAGGACATCCACACCGAAAACCCATCTGTACATCACCATCATCAAAGACCAAAAGTAGATAAAACCACAAAGATGGGGAAAAAACAGAACAGAAAAACTGGAAACTCTAAAACGCAGAGCGCCTCTCCTCCTCCAAAGGAACGCAGTTCCTCACCAGCAACAGAACAAAGCTGGATGGAGAATGACTTTGACGAGCTGAGAGAAGAAGGCTTCAGACGATCAAATTACTCTGAGCTACGGGAGGACATTCAAACCAAAGGCAAAGAAGTTGAAAACTTTGAAAAAATTTAGAAGAATGTATAACTAGAATAACCAATACAGAGAAGTGCTTAAAGGAGCTGATGGAGCTGAAAACCAAGGCTCGAGAACTACTTGAAGAATGCAGAAGCCTCAGGAGCCGATGCGATCAACTGGAAGAAGGGGTATCAGCGATGGAAGATGAAATGAATGAAATGAAGCGAGAAGGGAAGTTTAGAGAAAAAAGAATAAAAAGAAATGAGCAAAGCCTCCAAGAAATATGGGACTATGTGAAAAGACCAAATCTACGTCTGATTGGTGTACCTGAAAGTGATGGGGAGAATGGAACCAAGTTGGAAAACACTCTGCAGGATATTATCCAGGAGAACTTCCCCAATCTAGCAAGGCAGGCCAACGTTCAGATTCAGGAAATACAGAGAACACCACAAAGATACTCCTCGAGAAGAGCAACTCCAAGACACATAATTGTCAGATTCACCAAAGTTGAAATGAAGGAAAAAATGTTAAGGGCAGCCAGAGAGAAAGGTCGGGTTACCCTCAAAGGGAAGCCCATCAGACTAACAGCGGATCTCTCGGCAGAAACCCTACAAGCCAGAAGAGAGTGGAGGCCAATATTCAACATTCTTAAAGAAAAGAATTTTCAACCCAGAATTTCATATCCAGCCAAACTAAGCTTCATAAGTGAAGGAGAAATAAAATACTTTACAGACAAGCAAATGCTGACCGATTTTGTCACCACCAGGCCTGCCCTAAAAGAGCTCCTGAAGGAAGCGCTAAACATGGAAAGGAACAACCGGTACCAGCCGCTGCAAAATCATGCCAAAATGTAAAGGCCATCGAGACTAGGAAGAAACTGCATCAACTAACGAGCAAAATCACCAGCTATCATCATAATGACAGGATCAAATTCACACATAACAATATTAACTTTAAATATAAATGGACTAAATTCTCCAATTAAAAGACACAGACTGGCAAATTGGATAAAGAGTCAAGATCCATCAGTGTGCTGTATTCAGGAAACCCATCTCACATGCAGAGACACACATAGGCTCAAAATAAAAGGATGGAGGAAGATCTACCAAGCAAATGGAAAACAAAAAAAGCAGGGGTTGCAATCCTAGTCTCTGATAAAACAGACTTTAAACCAACAAAGATCAAAAGAGACAAAGAAGGCCATTACATAATGGTAAAGGGATCAATTCAACAAGAAGAGCTAACTATCCTAAATATATATGCACCCAATACAGGAGCACCCAGATTCATAAAGCAAGTCCTGAGTGACCTACAAAGAGACTTAGACTTCCACACATTAATAATGGGAGACTTTAACACCCCACTGTCAACATTAGACAGATCAACGAGACAGAAAGTCAACAAGGATACCCAGGAATTGAACTCAGCTCTGCATCAAGCAGACCTAACAGACATCTACAGAACTCTCCACCCCAAATCAACAGAATATACATTTTTTTCAGCACCACACCACACCTATTCCAAAATTGACCACATAGTTGGAAGTAAAGCTCTCCTCAGCAAATGTAAAAGAACAAAAATTATAAAAAACTATCTCTCAGACCACAGTGCAATCAAACTAGAACTCAGGATTAAGAATCCCACACAAAGCCGCTCAACTACATGGAAACTGAACAACCTGCTCCTGAATGACTACTGGGTACATAACAAAATGAAGGCAGAAATAAAGATGTTCTTTGAAACCAACGAGAACAAAGACACAACATACCAGAATCTCTGGGACGCATTCAAAGCAGTGTGTAGAGGGAAATTTATAGCACTAAATGCCCACAAGAGAAAGCAGGAAAGATCCAAAATTGACACCCTAACATCACAATTAAAAGAACTAGAAAAGCAAGAGCAAACACATTCAAAAGCTAGCAGAAGGCAAGAAATAACTAAAATCAGAGCAGAACTGAAGGAAATAGAGACACAAAAAACCCTTCAAAAAATTAATGAATCCAGGAGCTGGTTTTTTGAAAGGATCAACAAAATTGATAGACCGCTAGCAAGACTAATAAAAAAAGAGAGAAGAATCAAATAGACACAATAAAAAATGATAAAGGGGATATCACCACCGATCCCACAGAAATACAAACTACCATCAGAGAATACTACAAACACCTCTATGCAAATAAACTAGAAAATCTAGAAGAAATGGATAAATTCCTCGACACATACACCCTCCCAACACTAAACCAGGAAGAAGTTGAATCTCTGAATAGACCAATAACAGGAGCTGAAATTGTGGCAATAATCAATAGTTTACCAACCAAAAAGAGTCCAGGACAAGATGGATTCAGAGCCGAATTCTACCAGAGGTACAAGGAGGAACTGGTACCATTCCTTCTGAAACTATTCCAATCAATAGAAAAAGAGGGAATCCTCCCTAACTCATTTTATGAGGCCAGCATCATCCTGATACCAAAGCCGGGCAGAGACACAACCAAAAAAGAGAATTTTAGACCAATATCCTTGATGAACATTGATGCAAAAATCCTCAATAAAATACTGGCAAACCGAATCCAGCAGCACATCAAAACGCTTATCCACCATGATCAAGTGGGCTTCATCCCTGGGATGCAAGGCTGGTTCAATATATGCAAATGAATAAATGTAATCCAGCATATAAACAGAGCCAAAGACAAAAACCACATGATTATCTCAATAGATGCAGAAAAAGCCTTTGACAAAATTCAACAACCCTTCATGCTGAAAACTCTCAATAAATTAGGTATTGATGGGACGTATTTCAAAATAATAAGAGCTATCTATGACAAACCCACAGCCAATATCATACTGAATGGGCAAAAACTGGAAGCATTCCCTTTGAAAAATGGCACAAGACAGGGATGCCCTCTCTCACCACTCCTATTCAACATAGTGTTGGAAGTTCTGGCCAGGGCAATTAGGCAGGAGAAGGAAATAAAGGGTATTCAATTAGGAAAAGAGGAAGTCAAATTGTCCCTGTTTGCAGATGACATGACTGTATATCTAGAAAACCCCATTTTCTCAGCCCAAAATCTCCTTAAGCTGATAAGCAACTTCAGCAAAGTCTCAGGATACAAAATCAATGTACAAAAATCACAAGCATTCTTATACACCAACAGCAGACAAACAGAGAGCCAAATCATGAGTGAACTCCCATTCACAATTGCTTCAAAGAGAATAAAATACCTAGGAATCCAACTTACAAGGGATGTGAAGGACCTCTTCAAGGAGAACTACAAACCACTGCTCAAGGAAATAAAAGAGGATACAAACAAATGGAAGAATATTCCATGCTCATGGGTAGGAAGAATCAATATCGTGAAAATGGCCATACTGCCCAAGGTAATTTACAGATTCAATGCCATCCCCATCAAGCTACCAATGACTTTCTTCACAGAATTGGAAAAAACTACTTTAAAGTTCATATGGAACCAAAAAAGAGCCCGCATTGCCAAGTCAATCCTAAGCCAAAAGAACAAAGCTGGAGGAATCACACTACCTGACTTCAAACTATACTACAAGGCTACAGTAACCAAAACAGCATGGTACTGGTACCAAAACAGAGATATAGATCAATGGAACAGAACAGAGCCCTCAGAAATAACGCCGCATAACTACAACTATCTGATCTTTGACAAACCTGAGAAAAACAAGCAATGGGGAAAGGATTCCCTATTTAATAAATGGAGCTGGGAAAACTGGCTAGCCATATGTAGGAAGCTGAAACTGGATCCCTCCCTTACACCTTATACAAAAATCAATTCAAGATGGATTAAAGATTTAAACGTTAGACCTAAAACCATAAAAACCCTAGAAGAAAACCTAGGCATTACCATTCAGGACATAGGCATGGCCAAGGACTTCATGTCTAAAACACCAAAAGCAATGGCAACAAAAGACAAAATTGACAAATGGGATCTAATTAAACTAAAGAGTTTCTGCACAGCAAAAGAAACTACCATCAGAGTGAACAGGCAACCTACAGAATGGGAGAAAATTTTCGCAACCTACTCATCTGACAAAGGGCTAATATCCAGAATCTACAATGAACTCAAACAAATGTACAAGAGAAAAACAAACAACCCCATCAAAAAGTGGGCGAAGGACATGAACAGACACTTCTCAAAAGAAGACATTTATGCAGCCAAAAAACACATGAAAAAATGCTCATCATCACTGGCCATCAGAGAAATGCAAATCAAAACCACTATGAGATACCATCTCACACCAGTTAGAATGGCAATCATTAAAAAGTCAGGAAACAACAGGTGCTGCAGAGGATGTGGAGAAATAGGAACACTTTTACACTGTTGGTGGGACTGTAAACTAGTTCAACCATTGTGGAAGTCAGTGTGGCGATTCCTCAGGGATCTAGAACTAGAAATACCATTTTACCCAGCCATCCCATTACTGGGTATATACCCAAATGACTACAAATCATGCTGCTATAAAGACACATGCACACGTATGTTTATTGCGGCAGTATTCACAATAGCAAAGACTTGGAACCAACCCAAATGTCCAACAATGATAGACTGGATTAAGAAAATGTGGCACATATACACCATGGAATACTATGCAGCCATAAAAAATGATGAGTTCATGTCCTTTGTAGGGACATGGATGAAATTGGAAATCATCATTCTCAGTAAACTATCGCAAGAACAAAAAACCAAACACCGCATATTCTCACTCATAAGTAGGAGTTGAACAATGAGATCACATGGACACAGGAAGGGGAATATCACACTCCGGGGACTGTGGTGGGGTGGGGGGAGGGGGGAGGGATAGCATCGGGAGATATACCTAATGCTAGATGACGAGTTAGTGGGTGCAGTGCACCAGCATGGCACATGTAAACATATGTAACTAACCTGCACAATGTGCACATGTACCCTAAAACTTAAAGTATAATAAAAAAAAAGAAAAAACTATTTTGAAATTCGTATGGAACCAAAAGTGAGCCCAAATATCCAAGGCAATCCTAAGAGAAAAGAACAAAGCTGGAGGCATCATGCTACCTGAATTCAAACTGTGCTACAGAGCTACAGTAACCAAAACAACATGGTAATGGTACAAAAACAGATATATAGACCAATGGAACAGAAATAGAGAGCCCAGAAATAAGACCACACATCTACAACCAACCATCTTCAACAAAGCTGACAAAAACAAGCAAGGAGGAAAGGATTCCCTATTCAATAAATGGTGCTGGGAAAACTGGCTAGCCATATGCAGAAAATTGAAATTGGACTCCTTTCTTACAATGTATACAAAAATCAACTCCACATGGATTAGCAACTTAAATGTAAAACCCAAAAGTGTAAAAACCCTGGAAGACAACCTAGGCAATACCATTCTGGACATAGGAAGGGAAAAGATTTGATGAATAAAATGCCAAAAGCAGTTGCAACAAAAGCAAAATTGACAAGTGGGATCCAATTAAAGAGTTTCTACACAGCAAAAGAAATGATCAACAGAGGAAACAGACAACCTACAGAATGGGAGAATATTTTTGCAAACTATGAATCTGACAAAGGTCTAATATACTGCATCTATAAGAAACTTAAGTTTACAGGAAAAGAAAACAACCCCATTAAAAAGTGGGCAAAGGACATGAAATGACACTTTTCAAAAAAAGACATAAATACAGCTAACAGGCATATGAAAAAAAGCTCAACATCACTGATCATTATAGAAATGCAAATCAAAACCGCAGTGAGATACCATTTCACACCAGTCAGAATGGCTATTTTAAAAAAGTAAAAAAATAACAGATGCTAGTGAGGTTACAGAGAAAAGAGAACAATTTATATTGCTGGTGGGAGTGTAAATTAGTCCAACCATTGTGGAAAACAGTGTGGTAATTCCTCAAAGACCTAAAAACAGAACTACTATTTAACCCAGCAATCACATTGCTATGTATATACCCAAAGGAATATAAATTGTTTAATTATAAAGACACATTCATGTGTATGTTCACTGAAGCAGTATTCACAATAGCGAAGACATGGAATCAACCTAAATGTCCATCAGTGGTAGACTGGATAACAAAAATGTGGTACATATATACCATGGAATAGTATGAAGCCATAAAAGAGAACAATATTATGTTCTTTGCATGAACATGGATGGAGCTGGAGGCCATTATCCTTAGCAAACTGCTGCAGGAACAGAAAACCAAATACCACATGTTCTCACTTATAAGTGGGAGAATAACAATAAGAAAAATGGACACATAAGGAAACAACAGACGTTAGAGCCTACTGAAAAGTGGAGGATAGAAGGAGAGAGAGAATCAAGAAAAATAATTAATGGGCACTAGGCTTAATACATGGGTAACAATATAATCTGTACAAAAAAAACCCATGACATGAGTTTACCTCTATAACAAACCTGCATGAGTACACCTGAACTTAAAAGTTAAAAACAGAGACACAGGCAAAGAAAACACATTTCATGAAGAAGATTGAGGAGGAGGAGATGAAAGACATGTGTATGGGAGAGTGTTCTCCTGGAAGATCAGAGAGGAAATGATTACATGGATGGGATGCCCAATAATTATGGTTTCCTTGGAAATTCATGTTTTGGGTAGAGTAAAAGTATACCCTATAGTGTTCTGACTAGTAAAATTAAACAATATTTATTTTAAAAAACTATGGGCAAAAGATATGAGTAGGCAGATAAGAGTAAATGTTAAAAACTAACCAAATATTGTGGGGATAATTTTGTGCCAGTTTTTTCTCTAGTACTTTACATGTGTCTTCACTGCTACTTTACTAGCTAGGTACTAATTTCCTCTCCATTTTACAGTTGGGAAATCAAGGCAAAGACTGGTTACATTTTACAGACTCTCTTTGCTAGGAAGCAAAGAAACTAGAATTAAAACTGATGTAATCTGGTCAGAGTCTGTGCTTTTATTCACCATATACACAGCCTTCTAAGTAGGCATATAAAAAGTTCTTCAAATGACATCAGAAAATGCAAGTAGAAAAATAATTTAATAATTGTAAAAGTGTGCAGAAGTTCATACTTTTATATATTACCACTGAAGTTTAAATTGTAATGTTTCTGTGGAGTATGGGTTATTATCTACCATACCTAAAAATATTAATATTTTTGCACAACATATAAACATTTATTAAAAACTGATATGGTGTATATATATACATATATACACCATAAAAACTGATATGGTATATGTACACATATACCAGTTTTTAATAACATTATAATCAACATAAAAGTATATAATGGTAGAACAAACAAGTATTCTACACATACAGTATGGAAAGCAGTGTAGTAATTTACTGAAAATTTTTATATACACAACCACACAAACACAAACACACACTATCACAAGTTGCCAAGACATTTTGTTAATTAAAAGCAAGTCATTTAAATACATACATCAAATGATCTCCTTTATGTATTATAATGTAAAGATACATACACACACAAGTGGCCAAGTGTCACAGAAAGTTGTTACCTACACTAGTAATGATTTTTGGAAAATAAAGGGTGATTTTCATATATTATTTTATTTTATGTACATGTTTGATGTTTAACATAATACTTTATATTACAATTTTCTAATACAACTAGTATTTTATTATATTACAATGTAATATTTTTCACTTATCAAATTGGAAAAGAATTGAAAATATTGGCAAAGTTGTGAGCATGAACTTTCACATTCTCTTACAAAGAGAATTTACCAAATTGCATTCTTTCTCTTGAGGAAAAATTTGGAAATTTATTTCAAAATCACTAAAGATTTTCTTATTTCAAAAATTCTACTCTTGTGAATTTTTCCTATTGAAATAATTAACATTTTCAAGACATGCAAAGAGTTACAACAAAGTTGTCCTAGGAATATTAGTTTATAACAATGAAAATTACTAAAAAGTAATTCAGAAATTTAAAAATTAACTGCATCAATTGATTTTGTCTAATTGTTTAAAGTAATATAGCTCTTAAGAAATTATCTTTAGAAATGTAAAATGATACTCATGGGATAAACACATAGCATGATATGCACAGTAACATTTCTGATTCTTAAACTTCTCACAGTCTCAGAAGATTTTTTTTTATTATAACTTTTATTTTAGGTTAAGAGGTACACGGGAAGTTTTGTTATATAGGCAAACTGTGTATCACAGAGGTTTGATATATAGATTATTTTGTCACCCAGGTAATAAGCCTATTTCCCAATAGATATTTTTTCTGATCCTCTCCTTCCTCCCATCCTCCACCCTCAAGTTGGCCGAAGTGTCTGTTGTTCTCCTCTTTGTGTCCATGTGTTCTCCTTGTTTAGCTCCCACTTGTAAGTGAAAACATGTGGTATTTAGTTGTCTGTTCCTGCGTAAAATTGCTTAGGATAATGGCCTCAAGCTCCATCCATGTTTCTGGAAAGGACATGATCTCATTCTTTTTTATAGCTGTGTAGTATTCCGTGATACATAGGTACCACATTTTCTTTATCCAGTTGACCATTGATGGGTATTTAGGTTGATTTCATGTCTTTGCTATTGTGAACAGTGCTGCAATGAACATACGCATGCAATGTTTCTTTGTGATACAGTGACTTATATTCTTTTGGGTATGGATTTCTCTAATAAGATGCTGAGCATTTCTTACATACTCGTTGGTTTCACATATGTCTCTTTTGAAAAGCATCTACTCATTTCCTTTGCCCATTTTTTAGTGGGGTTGTTTGGTTTTGCTTAAGTTTCTTATTGATTCTGGATATTAGACCTTTGATGGATGCATAGTTTACAAATATTGTCTCCCATTCTGTAGGTTATCTGATTACCACTCCCTTGTTGTTGTTTTTGCTGTGCAGAAACTCTTTAATTACATCCCATTTGTCAATTTTTGATTTTGTTGCAATTGCTTTCGGTATCTTCGTCATGAAATTTTTGTTCGTTCCTATGTTTAGAACAGTATTGCCTACGTTATCTTCCAGGGTTTTTATATTTTTAGGTTTTACATTTAAGTCTTTAATTCATCTTGTGTTGATTTTTGTATATGGTGGAAGGAAAGGGCCCCAGTTTCAATCTTCTGTATATGGCTAGCCAGTTATCCTAGTACCATTTATTGAATAGGGAGTCCTTTCTTCATCGCTTGTTTTTGTCAGTTTTGTCAAAAATCATACAGCTGTAGGTGTGCAGCCTTATTTCTGGGCTCTCTATTCTGTTTCATTGGTCTATGTGTCTGTTTTCGTACCAGTACCATGCTGTTTCGGTCACTGCCGTAACTATACTGACTATACTAACTTTCAGTTACTATGCTTTGAAGTTGAGTAATGGGATGCCTCCAGCTTTATTCTCAGAAGATATTACCACCACATTATCCACAATGTTTTGCTCAGAATGGTAAGGTTTATGAGTATTATCTTTTATAATTCTTGCTAAGAAAAGATTCTAATTTTTATACAATTAACTACACAAAATACCTTACATTTTATCACGTCACTAATCTGTGTGTGCTCTTGTTAACTATATTTAATTAATGTATTGGTGTTTTATCTTTTTTTAGCAAATTTGCTTTCTTTATATTAATTTTTGGACATGAACAAAAGTCCTATAAAGTATTATGCTTATACTATACATCAGAAAACTTAGTTTTATATAAGTAAACTCATCAGGCCAGTGGGACTGGGAACCAGGCTCACCTCTGGATCTAGGTGATACCATTATCTTTGTTCTTCCTGCTACATTTAATGTAGCAGAGATATAAATGCTACCAACATTTATATTCAAGGCGGACCCATCCTTTCCCATGACGCTGTCAATCTTTCCTGGTAGGTAAAGCCTGAAGTGAAGCCTGCTGCCATTATTGCTTGACTGAATTATGTTTCTGAGGCACAGGCTTAGGGCAGGCCATTGGTGAAGACCATAATTTTGAATACTATAAAATTTAATCCTTCAAAAATCCCTAAAAAACAGGGACTATTTCACATAGGCTTACAGGAATGATGGCCTTGGAACTGAAACTAGGTCATGTTTGTCAATTAAAAAAAAAAAAAAAAAAGGCCAATTTCAAGACAATAAGGATTGTGGACCTAACTGTTGTACATCTGAGTCAGAAACTCTTTTTAGGATCTTTGTGCAAACCCAAATAGCACCTGAAAACAGATTAAATTATATGTTATATTTTTGAGATTAATAAATACTGATTTAAATTACTAATTAAAAACAACTATATTTTATGTACTTTCCCAATAAATAGAATATTTTTATACCATGTGAGAGTCAACAAAACTTTGTGTTAAAAATTGGTTTTCTAGTTTAGATTGTTAGAAACTCCTGTTATCTGTTTTATTGTTCTTCATTCTTCACAAAAAGAACAGTGTTAGGGAACTGCCTAGACATGTTGTTTCATACAGCAAGTATTTATTGAAGATACCGTGGGCCAGGCACTCAGTCCAGATCCGGGAATACAGCAGTAAACACACAAACAACAAACTGCAATTCTTGCCCCCAGAAGAGCTTATATTCTGTTAAGAAGAGATAGAAAGGATAAAAAAGAATTAAATGACACATTAAAAATAACTTCTATCGAGGAAACTATAGTAGATAGGAGGATAATATGAAAAGTGTGTGTGTGTGTGTGTGTGTGCACGTGATGCAATTTTAATAATAGTATTACACAATATCTCAATGTACAAAAGTCATATAAACAAAAACTTAAAAGAGAGGAAGGAATTAGCCTATGTATAAGTATGAGGAAAACATTCTGGACAGAGAGATGAGCAAATGCTAAGACCACAGAAATGTCTTTGTGCATAGCATTAGCAAGAAAGGCAAATTGAGCTAGAGGGGAAGTAGAAGTTGTTAAGATCAGAGAGCTGACAGGGTTTGCCAGGTAATGATAGGATGATGGCTTTTACCTGGAGATGGGGACCCCACTGGAGATCTCTGAAAGGAGGGTTGTCATGTCATGACCTATGCTTCTCCAATATTACATGTCTTGGTGTTGTTTTAATGCCATCTTTTGAGGCTTTTCAGGAAACCCACTAGAACCCATGAGAAGAATCATGTTGACTAGAAGAGCAAGGAAGATTAATTTGTCTGACTAAGGCATCATGGAGTCAGCAGTGAGCAAGCAAGAAGGGCATACAAGCAGCACGTTGGAGTAGTACTAGAGAGAATTCTTTATTAGCCTGGCCTAAAAATAGAACAGGAGTGACACAGTAGATGCAGTTTTTAATATATATGCTCATGACAATCAGCAGGCTCTTACACATATTAAAATAGCATGCAAATGGTAGCTTAACTTTCAGAGCATGAATGTAGCATGAAGACAGAAGAGAATGGACTGTCAGTACCCAATGAAAGTTCTGCCACAGTCTGAGGAGTCTGCAAATATTCAGTAGGAGAGAGAGAATAAGAAAAATCAAGAGGATATCCATATGCTGATTTTGGCCCTTACAATTTTTCTATTCATGGGTAGTATAAGTGAGGTTCATCAACATGAGAAGACACACCTGAATGCATTTAACTACTAAGATTATAATCAACATTGACACTGCATTTGAACCATTTTACATTTACAGCTTCAGACAATTAATTTTATGTATGGGGGGGGTCTTAGTGTGGGTCTGCTCTTCGAGTGACTCTCTACTCACCATAGACTCTCACAGGTAGCTTAGACAAGCCACAAGCAAATGTTTTCTCTACGGCAACAGTGCCTAGGTGAGCTCTCCTGCTAAGGGCATGTATGGGTCACAGTCATGGCGAACACTAGCTTCAGGATGTAAGCAAAAGCATTTATGTTCTTTTTTGCAACTACTTCTAAGTGCAGTTATAGTTTACCATCCAGCATCATAGATGCCTAACTTTTCCAGAACTGTTGCTAGGCTGGGGACTGCCCAGAAAATGAGCAAAGCCCAAGATAGGCTAAAGGGGTTTGCCAATAGGAGAATTAAATTTGTATCCCACATGCATAACCTTCATGACCTCGAATGAAGAATTTAAATGCTCTGAGGTTCATTTTCTTCATTTTAAAAATAAGTGCAATAATTTCTATTTCCCTTCAATGTTAGGATGGCTACATTAAATATCATAAAAAGATAACTGGTCTTCAAAGTAATAGACACTTGTAAGCTATTAGTTACAATTATGATATTATTAATAATGACTGTCTTTCAACCATTTACTAATTCAACCACGTCCCCCTTAACATATCAAACTGAAATTCCATCGGGAACTCTAACCATATACAAAAGTAAAGGGTTTTCCTTCTTTTTTTTTTTTATAACCAATACCAGCCCCCCAATCTCATTTGAAATCATTACTTTTTTTATGTTTTACAAGCTAGACATATAGGCTTGATTTTAAAGACAAGAGTATAATTAAATTATACCACTTTGCATTAAAACGTTTACAGATTTAACAGGATCACATATTTCTTTTCGATAAGAAAAAAAATCATGCTGAAAAGAACTGCATTACTGTTTAGAACCTCTCTACTCCTCCAATATTGCCCACAGAATGGTTGACCAGAGATACTAATTACTCTATATCTCAGAGAGCTCTGTTAGGAATAGACAAAGTTTCACTTTTTTAGAGTAAGGGAAGAAGTAGCTTTTTGCCTGTTTAAGCTGAAACATTTGTATTTCAATTGACATTATCCCTTGGCATTTTAGAGTTTTCAGCACAGCTCTCACAGGACAGTGGTTCCTTAATTGAATTCTCTTGTTTTTAAATTTGTGTACTAGACTAGAGAATATGCTGGAAGCATAGTATTGATGGTGATTATTTGATTATTTTAGGCTGCTATAAAGAAAAGTCTATATCATGAAAGCACATGGTATTGAACCACAATAAAGAAACATATACAGTCATCTTCTACCATAATAAGGCACTGGTTGGTGGATTCTAATGATCCAGAACTGTATGCCACTGGATTGCTACCCTTCTTCCTCTGAATCCACTTACTGGAGAAATAAGAAAATTGTCAGAAACAAGCCCACTTTGGACATTTTTATCAAAGCTGGTCATTAGAACCCATCTGACACATCTACAGGCTTAGCCCTGTCTTCTAAAGCTACCAGCTGTAAGAATTGAAAGGCATCTTAGATGACACCAATCCCTACACCCACATCTCACAGATAGAGGGAGTGCGTCTCAAGAGGTGAGACAATTTATCCAGGATTCTAGGAAAAGCTAGTGGCCGAGTCATGGCCCAAAACCAGGTCCCCAATTTGTACTGTACACTGACCACTTTCAGTGTTTTGCATGATCACTAACATCTGGCTAACACACATTTCGTCAGGATTCCACAGTCAACAAAGAGTAATTGGGCTGAGATTATAATCGTTCAGTCGATTTTTCTTGGTTCCCTTACCTTATACTGTCTTCTTTCTTCGTGCTCATCTCCTCCACAAAGCCACTAATCCCTAAAACTGGCTGCTTAGCATTTGCATCTGAGATTAGTTAAAGTGATAGGCATCAGGACTCTACTTAAACCTAGTACATAGGAATCTTAGGGGAAGACCCAGCTGTCTTTAATTTTAACAAAGCTATGGTGATGCATGGTAAGTTTGGGGACTTGTTACATAAGATACAGCTCCTAGAAAGCAGGGACACATTCTTCATCTTACAACCTAATGTCCAGGACAAGGTAGACCTCAGTAAGTATTTTATATATTAATGATTAAATTAATTGGCCTCAAATCATGAGAGAGCAAGCAGCAACAAGAGATTTAGACATTTGAAATAAAAAGAGAAAAAAAGAAAAAAATATGGAACTCTCAAGAGGGAGGGAATGTTAAAGGTCATTTAGTTCAATACTCACAGTTGAGATACTGAGGGAAATGAGACCTAGGAAATTAACCACTTCTGCCATAACCAAACAAGTAATCAGACCACTGTAACTAAAAGTCAGGTCACTGGATTTTTAGCTCTTGAGGAAAGAGTGGAATTGAAATGTACTAGGGTAGGCCAATGGTTGTCAAGGCTGATTTCAGGAGCAGCAGCAGCGGCAGCGGCAGCGGCAGCGGCAGCGGCAGCAGCAGCAGCAGCAGCAGCATCTGGGACCCTGATAAAATGCACATTCCTTTTTGTTGTTGTTTAATAAAACTAATGTTTTCAAGTCTGCTTTTATTAAAACACAATAAATACCATCAGTTTTTGAGATGAAATTTCATTACATACTGTAAATATTTATCATTTTCTTTTTTTTTAATTTTATTATTATGATACTTTAAGTTTTAGGGTACGTGTGCACAACGTACAGGTTTGTTACATATGTATACATGTGCCATGTTGGTGTGCTGCACCCATTAACTCATCATTTAGCATTAGGTATATCTCCTAATGCTATCCCTCCCTCCTCCCCCCACCCCACAACAGGCCCCGGTGTGTGATGTTCCCCTTCCTGTGTCCATGTGTTCTCATTGTTCAATTCCCACCTATGAGTGAGAACATGGGGTGTTTGGTTTTTTGTCCTTGCGATAGTTTGCTGAGAATGATGGTTTCCAGCTTCATCCATGTCCCCACAAAGGACATGAACTCATCCTTTTTTGTGGCTGCATAGTATTCCATGGTGTATGTGTACCACATTTTCTTAACCCAGTCTATCGTTGTTGGACATTTAGGATGGTTTCAAGTCTTTGCTACTGTGAATAGTGCCGCTATAAACATAGAAGTGCATGTGTCTTTATAGCAGCATGATTTATAATCCTTTGGGTATATACCCAGTAATGGGATGGCTGGGTCAAATGGTATTTCTAGTTCTAGATCCCTTAGGAATAGCCACACTGACTTCCACAATGGTTGAACTAGTTTACAGTCCCACCAACAGTGTAAAAGTGTTCCTATTTCTCCACATCCTCTCCACCACCTGTTGTTTCCTGACTTTTAAATGATTGCCATTCTAACTCCTGTGAGATGGTATCTCATTGTGGTTTTGATTTGCATTGCTCTGATGGCCAGTGATGATGAGCATTTTTTCATGTGTCTTTTGGCTGCATAAATGTCTTCTTTTCAGAAGTGTCTGTTCATATCTTTTGCCCACTTGTTGATGGGTTTGTTTTTTTCTTGTAAATTCGTTTGAGTTCATTGTAGAGTCTGGATATTAGCCCTTTGTCAGATGAGTAGGTTGCGAAAACTTTCTCCCATTCTGTAGGTTGCCTGTTCACTCTGATGGTAGTTTCTTTTGCTGTGCAGAAGCTCTTTAGTTTAATTAGATCCCATTTGTCAATTGTGGCTTTTGTTGCCATTGCTTTTGGTGTTTTAGACATGAAGTCCTTGCCCATGTCTATGTCCTGAATAGTATTGCCTAGGTTTTCTTCTAAGGTTTTTATGGTTTTAGGTCTAATATTTACGTGTTAAATTCATCTTGAATTAATTTTTGTATAAGGTGTAAGGAAGGGATCCAGTTTCAGCTTTCTACATATGGCTAGCCAGTTTTCCCAGCTCCATTTATTAAATAGGGAATCTTTTCCCCATTGCTTGTTTTTGTCAGGTTTGTCAAAGATCAGACAGTTGTAGATATGTGGCATTATTTCTGAGGGCTCTGTTCTGTTCCTTTGGTCTATATATCTGTTTTGGTACCAGTACCATGCTGTTTTGGTTACTGTAGCCTTGTAATATAGTTTGAAGTCAGGTAGCATGATGCCTCCAGCTTTGTTCTTTCGGCTTAGGATTGACTTGGCGATGCAGGCTCTTTTTTGGTTCCAGATGAACTTTAAAGTAGTTTTTTCCAATTCTGTGAAGAAAGTCATTGGTAGCTTGATGGGGATGGCATTGAATCTATAAATTACCTTGGGCAGTATGGCCATTTTCATGATATTGATTCTTCCTATCCATGAGCATGGAATATTCTTCCATTTGTTTGTATCCTCTTTTATTTCATTGAGCAGTGGTTTGTAGTTCTCCTTGAAGAGGTCCTTCACATCTCTTGTAAGTTGGATTCCTAGGTATTTTATTCTCTTTGAAGCAATTGTGAATGGGAGTTCACTCATGATTTGGCTCTCTGTTTGTCTGTTATTGGTGTATAAGAATGCTTGTGATTTTTGTACATTGATTTTGTATCCTGAGACTTTGCTGAAGTTGCTTATCAGCTTGAGGAGATTTTGGGCTGAGACAATGGGGTTTTCTAGATATACAATCATGTCATCTGCAAACAGGGACAATTTGACTTCCTCTTTTCCTAATTGAATACCCTTTATTTCCTTCTCCTGCCTAATTGCCCTGGCCAGAACTTCCAACACTATGCTGAATAGGAGTGGTGAGAGAGGGCATCCCTGTCTTGTGCCTGTTATCAAAGAGAATGCTTCCAGTTTTTGCCTATTCAGTATGATATTGGCTGTGGGTTTGTCATAGATAGCTCTTATTATTTTGAGATATGTCCCATCAATACCCAATTTATTGAGAGTTTTTAGCATGAAGTGTTGTTGAATTTTGTCAAAGGCCTTTTCTGCATCTATTGAGATAATCATGTGGTTTTTGTCTGTGGTTCTGTTTATATGCTGGATTACATTTATTGATTTGTGTATGTTGAACCAGCCTTGCATCCCAGGGATGAAGCCCACTTGATCATGGTGGATAAGCTTTTTGATGTGCTGCTGGATTCGGTTTGCCAGTATTTTATTGAGGATTTTTGCATCAGTGTTCATCAAGGCTATTGGTCTAAAATTCTCTCTTTTGGTGGTGTCTCTGCCAGGCTTTGGTATCAGGATGATGCTGGCCTCATAAAATGAGTTAGGGAGGATTCCCTCTTTTTCTATTGACTGGAATAGTTTCAGAAGGAATGGTACCAGCTCCTCTTTGTACCTCTGGTAGAATTCGGCTGTGAATCTGTCCCGTCCTGGAGTTTTTTTGGTTGGTAAGCTATTGATTATTGCCTCAATTTCAGAGCCTGTTATTGGTCTATTCAGAGATTCAACTTCTTTCTGGTTTAGTCTTGGAAGGATGTATGTGTCAAGGAATTTATCCATTTCTTCTAGATTTTCTAGTTTATTTGCGTAGAGGTGTTTGTAGTATTCTCTGATGGTAGTTTGTATTTCTGTGGGATCGGTGGTGATATCCCCTTTATCATTTTTTATTGCATCTATTTGATTCTTCTCTCTTTTCTTCTTTATTAGTCTTGCTAGTGGTCTATCAATTTTGTTGATCTTTTCAAAAAACCAGCTCCTGGATTCATTAATTTTTTGAAGGGTTTTTTGTGTCTCTATTTCCTTCAGTTCTGCTCTGATCTTGGTTATTTCTTGCCTTCTGCTAGCTTTTGAATGTGTTTGCTCTTGCTTTTCTAGTTCTTTTAATTGTGATGTTAGGGTGTCAATTTTGGATCTTTCCTGCTTTCTCTTGTGGGCATTTAGTGCTATAAATTTCCCTCTACACACTGCTTTGAATGTGTCCCAGAGATTCTGGTATGTTGTGTCTTTCTTCTCGTTGGTTTCAAAGAACATCTTTATTTCTGCCTTCATTTCATTATTTACCCAGTAGTCATTCAGGAGCAGGTTGTTCAGTTTCCATGTAGTTGAGCGGTTTTGAGTGAGTTTCTTAATCCTGAGTTCTAGTTTGATTGCACTGTGGTCTGAGAGTTTATAATTTCTGTTCTTTTACATTTGCTGAGGAGTGCTTTACTTCCAACTATGTGGTCAATTTTTATGCACCACAGCCAACCTACTGAATCAGAAACACTGTGACAGGACCCAGTGATCTCTTTCAACAACCTTCAGGTGATTCTGAAACATACTTAAGTTTGAGGACCACTGATCTGGGCAAATGAATCTTCCTTATCCACATGTTTTAAAAGTCATTCTTATAATGTTTTATTTAAATCTGCTGAAACAAAAGTTCATTCTCAATTATATTTTAGAAACAACCCAAGGTAATATATCTTTGAGGGTAGATGAATAGAAATTACTTGGGAGCAAATATCCTACTTTATTGTACCTTTCCTCATTTAAAGTTTGTTTCTTCTTTTGGGATCTCCATTTATGCAAGTATATATGAGATTCCCATAAATTCCACAGTTGTGGTTTTTTTTCATTGTAGTATTCAAATGACCATCAAGCTCAAATTCTTATAGATACTTATCTATTGACTAGGTTACAAGAGTTTTCCCCCTGTAACCTCAACCTTTCCATTTTATTTCTCATTGTTCAAGTCTTTGATTGTGATTATGCTTAAAAAAACTGAGAGGCCATTGTTTTGGACTGAGATCCTGCACTAGGATCCCATAGAACAAACTGATACATTATAGAGTCAATTGTGTTAGATGCCATGTAATCAAGCTGAACTTAGAAACAGGACAATTTTCCTAAAAACAAGAAATTTGCAGTAACCAATCATAAGGGGTTCAGTTGATCTGAGTCTACACGTTAAGAAAGTTCCCACTGTTTTAACCCTATAAGGAAGGTAACCTGATGTTGACCAATCCACCTTTTGCACTCTGCTATTCCCTTGTTCCTACTCAGCTTACCTTACAAAAACCAACTGTTCTGCCACACACAGCAGAGTACCTTTCTGTTTTTTAGATAGGATGCTGTTTAATTCATGAATCGCTAATTAAAGACAATTACAATTATTAAACTCAGTTTGTTGAGTTTTTGGTTGACAGTTCATAGTATATACTTTGGAAGTAAAGAGTTTTGAGTTTAAATTCTAGCCACAACATTTATTAGCGATGTGACCTGGAAAATTACTTAACCATTAAATATCTCTTAAGATACTTAAAATAAATATTTAATATTAGCAGATTTTTAAAAATGATATGTCTATCTTCAGTATTTGATATATAGTAAAATTTAGTATATTTTAGCTGGTTCAACTGTAGAAAATCTAGAATTTTCATTATTGAAAACATAATTATCCTTTGATTTTCATACTTTCTTTTGTCAAAGAAGGCCCACCCTACCCCTGTAATATACAAATACCTTTCTTATGGGCTATCTCAGTCATGTATCTCCCGGCTATCAATTATATTCATCAATGATATCCTTCTGTCCTTAGCTGGACACAGTGGCCCATGACTGTAGTCCTAGCACTTTGGGAGGCCAAGGCAGGTGGATTACCTGAAGTCAGGAGTTCAAGACCAGCCTGGCCAACATTGTGAACTCCTCTCTCTACTAAAAATACAAAAATTAGCAGGACATGGTGGTGTGTGCCTATAATCCCAGCTACCCAGGAGCCTGAAGCAGGACAATCTCTGGAACCTGGGAGGAGGAGGCTTCAGTTAGCCGATATTATGCCACTGCACTCCAGCCTGGGCGACAGAGTGAGACTCCATCTCAAAAAAAAAAAAAAAAAAAAAAAAAAAAAAAAAAAAAATCCTTCTGTCCTTAAATTCTCATTGCTTCCATTTCTACCACTGAAGTGAAATCATAATTCTTCTTTTTTGAACATTTTTACAACCACATTATTTTATTTTTCCATTGATGCCTGAAACAATCTTCATAAGTCTTATTTTAAAGGTAAAAACAATACTTCTATATTGGCTAATTAATTTCATATCAGTTGAATATACAGTTAAAAATTATAATATCTAAAATACTATTTTTTTTTGAGACAAAAATCTCACTGTGCAGCCCAGGCTGGAGTGCAGTGGTGTGATCTCGGCTCACTGCAACCTTCGCCCCCCAGGTTCAAGGGATTCTCCTGCCTCAGCCTCCTGAGTAGCTGGGATTACAGGCATGCACCACCATGCCCGGATAATTTTTGTATTTTTAGTAGAGATGGGGTTTTACCATGTTGATCAGACTGGTCTTGAACTCCTGACCTCATGATCTGCCCACCTTGGCCTCCCAAAGTGCTGGGATTACAGATGTGAGCCAACGTGCCAGGCCTAAAATACTATTTCTAAATTAGAGCTGTGTGGATATGGTCTTCATAGTCTGTGAGTTAAATAAATTTTTAATCTTGTTATGACAATCTAAAAATAATACTATAGTTTTTATCCCAGAAATGCAAAATGGGGTCAACATTTGAGAATGGATCACTACAATTCACAATATTAACAAGCTAAAAACAAACTATATGGTGATCTCAAAAGGTACAGGGAAAGCTTTTCATAAGATTCAACATTTATTCATGACAAAATTGTCAAAAAGTAGCAACAGAAAGGCACTTCCTCAACTTGATATAAAGGCATTTACACACAAGCTACAGTTAACATCATACTTAAAGAAAAAAGACTGAATACTTCTTCCTAATAATGTGTAACAAGGCAACTTTGTACAAAGGATCTAGCTAAGACAATCAGACAAGGAAAAAAATAAAAGTTATCCAGTTTGGGAAAAAAGAAGTAAAATTTTTGTTATTTGCAAACAACTTGATCATTGATTTGGAAAACCCTAAATAGTTTACCAAAGTTATAGAAACTAATATATGAATTCAGGGACATTACAGTATACAAGGTCAATATATACAATCAATTAACTGTATTTCTATATACTAGTGTTAAAAAAATTACTCATCACACTTGTTGAAGAATGGTAAAGCCGACTTTGTTCAGAACCATCAGGATGGGTACAGGGAGTACTGCAATGGGGTTTTGCAGTAGAGGAAAGAGATTCTGCTCAACTCTAAATACAACAGAGAAAAGTGAAAATGTATAGTCAAGAAGCAAGGTGGAAAATTATTAAGAGGAAATATCAGGGCACAAGGGATTCTTATTAGATCAATCATTGCTGCAACAGGACAGGGTGATCAGCAGACATCCACCTCGGAGATGGTGGCAGATGAGGAACTGGATACCAAGCATGATGAGATATTGAGGATGGGGAAACTGACTAACTCAGTAGGATTCTTGCTAAATTTGGACAACAAAAAGACAAATACAGAAGCTCAAATGTTAGAGGCTAGTTGAGATGAGAGTACAGGGGAGCCTGAGTAGAGTATGGTCAAGGAAAGAATCTCTGTCACTAGTAATGAAAAATTTAAAGTTGTAATTTGAAAAGATCCATTTATTGTTGCACTATAACCAAACAAACTTTGGTATAATTCTTATAAGACTTGTGCAAGATATATACAGTGAGGGCAACAAAACATTGATGAAAGAAAAAAAATCTGCATACATTGTGAGCTATATGATGTTCACAGTTTGGAAGACTCAGCATTGTTACATGTTTTCCCCAAAATTGATCTATAGATTCAGTGCAACTTCCATCAAAATTTCACCAAAATTTTACCAAGATTTGCGTAGAAATAGCCAAGCTTATTTTAAAATTTATATAAAAAAATTACAGTAGCTAAAGTTTAGAACAATAAATTTAAAAAAGTATATTACCTGAAGACCCAGACTACCTTACTATAAAGCTCTAAGTGTAGCTTTTTAATAAAATTCCAAGTAAATCAATAAAACAGACTGAATCATAGATGAATAATTGATTATCAATAAAATAAAGATAGCAAGGCAAATGGAAAGAGAAAAGATGGTCTTTTCAGTGAATAGTGCCCTAAGTAAGAAAACAAAAAAACATGTTATAAAAAAAATATGTTTCTATTTCACATGACATACAAAAAGTTACTTAAAGTTAAGAATAGACTTACAAGTCAAACCAAAAATTCTAACACTTCAAGAATTAAACATAAGAGAAAAACCTTTGTTACCTTATTAAGGAGAGGTTTAGGTATAACCGAAAAAGCATGATCCATACATTTTAGGGCTTTTTTCCATTTGTGTTTCATTTCGGGTACTTTCAATTGCTGTTTCTTCAAGTTCACTAATCTTTTCTTTTACATTGTCAAATCTTCTAACAGTTCCATTCAGTGTCTTCATCTCAGGCATGAAAGTTTTTCATTTCTAAAAGTTTGATTTGAGTATTTTTATAACATTTATTTATTGAACCACTTCTGTATTCTACTTCTTGAACATGTGGAATACAATTATTAAAACAAATTATTTTAATGTATTTGCCTAGTAATTCAGTAATTTTCTTTATATCAATTGACTTTTCTCTTCATTGTAGGTCAAATTTTCCTGCTTCTTTACATTACTGATTTGATTTTGAGAAGTTTAGTTTGTTGGGTTTTTGATGCTTTTTATTTCCTTAAATATACCTGTCCATTGTTCTATGACGCAGTTTAATTACCTGGAAACAGCTTAATTCTTCCAAAGCTTCCTTTAACCTCTCTTAAGCAGGATACAAATAGCCTTTTGTCTAAGGCTAACTTTATCTACACTGAATATACTTCAAAGTAATTATACCCTACCAGTTATGAGATTTTCTACTCTGATCACTGGAAAAAGACATTTTCTTCCCTTGTATAGTGCTAATAATTATTTCTCCTACAAAATTTAACTCAAAATAGATCAGGGATATAAATGTAAGAACTAAAACCATAAAACTCTTAGAAGAAGACATAGGGATAAATGTTTATTACCTTGGGTTTGACAATGGAATCGTAGGACACTAAAAGCATGAGTAACAAAACAAAAAATAGGTGAGTTGTACTTCATCAAAATTAAAAACATTTGTGCATAATATAAAAAGATAACCTATAGAGTGGTAAAGAATATTTGCAAATCATACATCTGATAAGGATCTAGTACCTAGAATATATAAATAATGTTTACAATTAAAAAACAAAAATACTCCCAAATCAATAATAGGCAAAGTACATGAATAAACATTTTCTTCAAATAAGGTATGCAAATAGTCAATAGGCACACAAAAAACTTGCTCAACATTATTAGTCATTAAGGAAATGTAAGTCAAAACCACAAGAGGGATCATTTTATACCCTTTGGATGGCCATAAAGAAAGAGACAGACCCAGCACTTTGGGAGGCCGAGGCGGGCCAATCACGAGGTCAAGAGACCAAGATCATCCTGACCAAACGGTGAAACCCTGCCCTACCAAAAATACAAAAATTAGCTGGGCATGGTGGTGTGCAGCCTATAGTCCCAGCTACTTGGGAGGCTAAAGCAGAGAACTGCTTGAATCCGGGAGGCAGAAGTTGCAGTGAGCCAAGATCACGCCACTGCACTCCAACTGCTGACAGAGTGAGACTCCATCTCAAAAAAAAAAAAAGAAAAGAAAAGAAAAAGACAAGAAAGAGACAGAGAGCGCACATGTGCAAGAGAGAGCCACAGACTGAAAGAGGGGAGGGAGGTAGGGAGGGGAGGGAGGCAGGGGGAAAAGGAAGGAGGGAGGGAGGGAGGGAAGGAGGGAAGGAAGGAAGGAAGGAAGGAAGGAAGGAAGGAAGGAAGGAAGGAGGGAGGGAAGACTGCTGGCAAGGATGTGGAGAAATTCACACACTAGTACCTTACTGGTAGGAATGTAAAATTGTTCAGCCATTGTAGAAAACATTTTGCAGCCCTCAAAAGGTAAAACATAGGTCAGGCATGGTGGCTGATGCCTGTAATCCCAATGTTTTGGGAGGCCGAGGTGGGAGGATTGCTTGAGGCCAGGAGTTTGAGACCAGACTGAGAAACACAGTGAGACCCTGTCTCTACAAAACAATTTTTAAAAATTAGCTGGGTGTGGTGGCATGTACTTGCAGTCCAAGCTACTCTGAAGGCTGAAGTGGGAGGATTGCTTGAGCCCAGGAGTCAGAGGTTACAGTGAGTTAATGATTGCACCTCTGCACTCCAGCATGAGTGACAGTGAGACCTTGTCTCTTAAAAAAAAAAAAAAAAAATGAAAAGGCCAGCACAGTGGCTCACGCCTGTAATCCCAGCACTTTGGGAGGCCAAGGCAGGTGGATCACAAGGTCAGGAGATCGAGAGAATCCTGGCAAACATGGTGAAACCCCGTCTCTACTAAAAATACAAAAATTAGCCAGGCGTGGTGGCGGGCGCCTGTAGTCCCAGCTACTTGGGAGGCTGAGGCAGGAGAATGGTGTGAACCCGGGAGGCAGAGCTTGCAGTGAGCCGAAATCGTGCCACTGCACTCCAGCCTGGGCGACAGAGCAAGACTGTCTCAAAAAAAAAAAAAAAAAAAAAAAAAGAATACCATAGAATTACCATATGACCCAGCAATTATAGCCAAAAATAATTGAGACGAGGTACTTAAACAAGTGCATGTATACACACATTGATAATAGCATTATTCACAATAGCCAGAAGATGGAAACAGCCCATGTATTCATCCCCAGATGAACAGATAAAAGTTGGTATATACATACAGTAGAATATAATTCAGCCACAAAAAGGAATGAAGTACTGATACAAGCTACAATGTGAATGAACCTTAAAAACATTATGGTAAGTGAAAGAAGTCAGACACAAAAGGCCACATATTATTAGATTCCATTTATGTGAAATAGCTAGAATAGGAAAATCTGTGGGAACAGAAAGCATACTGGTAGTTGCCAGGAGTTGGGGGTGGGAAAGGCAGAATGGGAAGTAACAGTTTAATGGGTACGAGGTTTTTTATGGAGGGGAATAAAAATATTTTGGAACCAAATAGGGGTGGTGATTGTGCAACACTGTGAAAGTGGTAAATGCCACTGAATTAGTCACTCTAAATGGTGAATTTTATGTTGTGGGAATTTCACCTCAATAATAATAATAATAATAATAATAATAATAATGAAGAAGAAGAAGAAAGAAGAAGAAGAAGAAAGAAGAAAGAAGAAAGAAGAAAGAAGAAATCATTCCCTCTAAACTTTTTGGAGTGGGTCTTTTCTCAGCTTTAGTGATTGTCTTACCTGCATGCACTGATCAGTACTCAGGTAAAGATGCCAGGGTTATCCTCTGCAGATCTCTCTTCTCTTACACTGCTGTAATCTCTACCTGCTGTGCCTCACTTTAGATTCTCTGCTCCATCTTCTTTCCTTTCCTTTCCTTTTTCCTTCCTTCCCTCCCTCCCTCCCTCCCTCCCTTCCTTCCTTCCCTCCTTCCTCAGGGAGACTGGAGTTTTATTATTACTCAAATCAGTCTCTCCAAGCATTTGGGGAGCAGAGTTTTTAAGGATAACTTGGTGGTTGGGGGGAAGCTAGTGAGCCGGGAGTGCTGATTGGTCAGAGATGAAATCATAGGGAGTCAGAGCTGTCTTCTCGTGCTGAGTCAGTTCCTGGGTGGGGGCCACAAGATCAGATGACCCAGTTTATTGATCTGGGTGGTGCCAGCTAATCCATCAAGTGCAGAGTCTGCAAAATATCTCAAGTAATGATCTTAGGAGCAGTTCAGGGAGGGTCAGAATCTTGAAGCATCCAGCTGCATGACTCCTAAACCATAATTTCCAATCTTGTGGGTAATGTTAGTCCTACAAAGGCAATCTAGTACCATCTTTAAACAAGAGCTACCTCTGACCTCCACCTGGAATCCTAATACTTATCATTTAGTTTGCAAACTCCCCCTAGGTAATAAACTGGGAAATCGTGGGCTCACCTCACTGATATCCTCTGTCAAAAGTGTCATTGTCCTGCATTTCTCAATGCCCAAAGCCTAAAAATGATTGTAATACATGTATTGTCCAGTGTTAGCTGTTTTGTGTCTGTTATCCTATTGTGGCCAGAAAGAGAGGTCAGAATTTGCCTTTTAATGAAGTGTTCTCAACTTAGGTTTTACATATTTGTTCTCAAGTTTGAATTTTATAAACATATACATATGTACTTAGGCACACATACACATACAGATATATTTCTCCCTTAGAAGATATCATGTACTACTTAAGCATGAGAAAAACTGATCTAAATCTTCCTGAAGAGAAGTGTACATGCATATGATCACTATAACATTTCTAATTTTATTTTATTCACTGTAGCAACAGGAATTTCCAGCACCATAAGGCTCTTATCTCAATGAGTACCATCCTGAAGCTCTTCTCAGAGCACAAATGTTGCTGTCTAATTAGATACCACAGCCAAGAGTGGAAGAAAATAGGAAATACACCTGTCCATGCAACCTATTAATGATGCTTAGCCTTTAATTCTAATGGGTATACGATTTCCATGGGTTGTTTGATATTCCAAGGGGATTAGACTGACAAGAACAAAACTTTTCTAATGATATATCTTGACAAGGAACCACCACTAACAACAAAGGAAACCCATATATCAAGAGAAAGGATACCATTTTTTAAAAAAAGAATGTTCACTGGGCAAAACAGATTTGATTAGCTGGTTCTACTCAATGTGTGGATGGAATAGAGAGCCATGCATTCTAAGCTAAAGCGTCACATGTACCTATATTCTATCTTTTTTAAAGTAATTGCTTTTAAGGAATTTATTTTAGAGGATTGCTTTTTAAATGAAGAATGGCATGTCAGTCCTGAAAGTATGTTTTGTGGTTGTGTTATTCCTGTTCTGAAAATTATTTGCTTCATAATCTCAGCTCACTTTTTATGATCCTGGAGCAATTTATAGGAAAAATAGTTATCAATCAACTGGTTTCAGAGTAGAATGTGAAAAGGAAACTTCTATTAATATGTCCCATGCTGGCAACCCCCTCTGTGTCATCTCCCTTCCACTCCTCCTCTGTGATCAGAGAACAAGGTCACGCCAGCCCGCACATCAGCTGTGGCTTATTTCTCCTAGCGTCCTGTGTTCTTTCATGCTTCTGCTGCTTTGTAATTGTTGTGCTCCCACCTGGAAGACCTTCCATACATTCTCCATCCTAAGCAAATTTATTCACCTTTCAAGACCTGTTTTCAGTGGCATCTTTTAACGGAATCTTTCCCAAATTCCCTAGTAAGTCAGGTAGCACATCTTCCTTTAAACCACTCCACCACAGACAGATTTGACTCCAGAGTTGGAGCCCCTCATTACCTCCTGAGCTTCTGGAAAGTCTGGCCTCTGCTTAAACCATTTTTGGATGTTCTGTCCTCAGTGCACAATAAACCTTTAAAGTAATTACTGGTGGGAAAAAAGGAAGGAAGAAGGCACAGAGCACAGTAGGTAAAGAAAAACTAAATGAGTAAATACCTTATTGTAGGCATTAGGCAGAACAAAGATAAGAGACTATCCCTATTCTGACATTTGCACAGTTGGGCAACCCAAACCACCAAAATTTGGCCATAACATCTAAATTAACATGATCTTGATAAACTCATGTATTTTGGAAGGTCCAGAACTTGAAACAACAGGGGAAATCCTAACATGAGACAGTGTGATCATGAATTTAAATACCATGAAACCTGAATATACGGAATATATAATACAATTTTTTTATGTGAAGTATTAGCTAAAGGGTTAAA
The DNA here is from genome assembly GCF_000001405.40 of Homo sapiens. Lineage (NCBI taxonomy): Eukaryota > Metazoa > Chordata > Mammalia > Primates > Hominidae > Homo > Homo sapiens. Next base: position 116,026,769 of record NC_000002.12, on the reverse strand, counting down.
GAGATTAATATTTAATGATATCTCCATTAATCTTATGTTGGCTGTTTTTTAAATGTTTAATAAATAGGCATAGTTCTCTCACTAGCTCCCAAGAAGAAACAGTAAGATACCAGGATACACTGTACCTAGTTTACAGTTTAGTAGAGGTGATAAAACACATCTTGAAGAAAGATTTTGAATAAATTTCCACCTTTATGTGGAGGACAGAAAGCAGTATTTTATTCCCAGCCCGGACCATTCAGCACTAGCTTGGTAAATCATGGGACAAAAAAAAAAAAAAAAATATATATATATATATATATATATACACACACACACACACACACACACACACATATGTATATATATCGGCCGGGCGCAGTGGCTCACGCCTGTAATCCCAGCACTTTGGGAGGCTGAGGTGGGTGAATCACGAGGCCAGGAGATCGAGACCAGCCTAGCTAACATAGTGAAACTCCGTCTCTACTAAAAATGCAAAAAATTAGCCGGGCGTGGTGGCGGGCGCCTGTAGTCCCAGCTACTCCGGAGGCTGAGGCAGGAGAACGGCGTGAACCCGGGAGGCGGAGCTTGCAATGAGCTGAGATCGAGCCACTGCACTCCAGCCTGGGAAACAGAGCGAGATTCCATCTCAAATAATTATAAATAAATAAATAAATAAATAAATAAATAAATAAATAAATAAAAATAAATCATGCTCTATAGGACTCATTGAAAATATGAAGACTTAAGAAACCTCTGGCTAGAATGTTCACACACAAGAAAATATTTTCGTGATTGAAATTAAATGCAAACGTATTGAGAGAATGTTAGTAAGGAGGAAATTGAGTTATGGGGTCTAAATTAATAAAGAAACCCCAAAGGGTTAGACAAAATGTAAAAACACAAATACAGAGCTCATGGTTGTGACTGCATCCCACTAGTTAGACACCACTAGGCATGGTATTTCACAATAAATAAAAAAAGTTTGTGTACCCATGAAAGAGGCTACCAGACTACTGTATTTATAAAATATTTTAAAAAGTTGCGAAGTACATACAAATGGCCATTCATCAGAGGATAGCTCTCTTCATGTTAAGCTGGGCTATATTTGAAGTTAGAGTGAAATTTTCTTTTGCCATGACTATGCCCTCAAACATTTCTATAAATACTTTCTACACTTTAAGAAATACTTGTCTTCATATATGAAAACATGCCAATATGTTTCAGAGCAATTCCAATTCATATCTGAATTCTGCAATAAGCTACATAGTACCTTGGTGGCTGTTATTATTTTCTTCTCAAGAATGTTGGACTTTCAAAGCAATGATGACCCCTTGAAACACAGATTTAGATGATTTTGTTTAAAAGGAGGTTGATTTCCACTGTCTATCTCACTAAACATTAAATTACTCCCTGTTATATTTCATATCCCCAGATATGAAATAATCTGTTTTTGATCAGCTTCCAACAAAAAATATTATGTCTAGCAGGATCCCATTTGCTATTTTGAGTCCACTGTGTCACCAATTTTCAAGTTTTTAAATCTGGTGTCTTAGTTCAGGCTGCTGTAAAGAAGAATATCATGGACTGTGTGGGCTTAAAAAGCAAATATACATTTCTTATAGTTCTAGAAGTTGGGAAGTCCAAGCCAGCATATTTGAAGTCTGAAGAAAGTTGCCTTCTTGATGAATCTTCACATGGCTGACAGAGAGAGCTCTAGTTTCTTCAGATTCTTTCAGTGCTTCATCCTATTCATGTGGACTCCACCCTCATGATTTAATCACCTCTCAGATACCCTGCCCCTAAATACCTCACTTTGGGGATTAGACCTCAATTTTAGAGGAACACAGATATTCAGCCCATAGCAGCAAGTAGTGTTTATTTTGGTCAAAATAAAAATAAGATAAAATCTAGACATTTAGATCTCAAAAGTTATATAAAAATTAGATTTAAAGCAGTTGGCATTAAAGCACAAACTCATTTGTGCATCTGTTGCTCACAAAATAATTATATTTATTCAATCCAAATTAAACATTTGCTAGTAAAATCCTAACTACATTATGCCTTCCCCCACCCACCCCTTTTCTTAAGTATTTTCATTTCTGAACAAAATGCACTTTCAAAAATCCTGATCTTTTCTGAACTCATAAGCAAAATAAGAGGGCTAATTTCAGAAATTTACCACTGCCTTTTTTTAACCTTTTATTGTGACAGAATAATAGCATACTACGAGTGAGCCACACTTAAGGGAAAAAAACTGTAGCAATTATTTGAATCATTCTTTTTTGGAGGATCAGAAAACCTATGAAATGGTAATTTTTGAACATTCAAATGTTTCAAGGAAAGTGTTAAATAGTTCTTGCTTAGCCTAGTGCTCTAAAACTTTCTTCTAGTACAATGTAATCCAATTTTCTATACAAAGAAAGAAAGCTTTTATTGAAAGGGAGAACTCAATTTTTACCAAATTATACACAGTTTATAACTAGGCTCAGTGAAAAAAAAATTGCTATAATAATTCAAAACTTAATGATTCAAATCAATAAAATACATTACTATCTCTAGATAAATCAGTTATTGGAAAATGAGGTCTAGTTACAAGGTGAAGGGCTATGCCATCCTTGAAGATCTGTTTCTGTGACTACAATGACCAAATATATGGCTCTGATATGAGCATTCTGTTTTATTTTGCAGAGTTGTTTTCTGGCCAGGCTCTTTAATCTGCAGATGAAATCAATTATGATTTCTATAGTGGAATGTTCCAACTGGAGTTTAAGAAATTCAGATATTTCGAGCCTTTATTTGACATTGCTGAGCTATTCTGAGAGTAATTTCCTGCAATGGCACTAAAAAGCAAATTAGAAGAACACCTATCCAGAGCCAAGAGATTGAAATGGGTTGTTCATCAGAGGGGAAGTGAAATGACGACTGCATCATTGTTTTGTCAACAGTGAATATTTTGTAATCTAGGTAGTATAAGATTAATACCCACTGAGTGGACAGGGTCTGCTTTCTGTCACATTCAAGACCAAGCATCACTGCTTTGGGGTTTCTCTAACACAGTACATTACACAAGGAAGAGACTCAATCTTTCCAATTCTGTATTTTGTAAAAATTTGAAATTCTAATAGTTTGGAGGCCTTCAAACATCTCATAAATATTTTGCATGGAAGAAAATCTCATGAACAGTTGTTGAACATTGTGAAGATTTTACATGCTTAGAAAAGCATTGACAACTAAAAGGAGGGGAGTTGCTGGGGCCTTTATTGGGAAGAGAACCATGCTTGATCCCAAGGCTAATGTAACAACTTCAGGGATATCATTTGCATTAAGAGCTATGTAAATGATGTTCCCTATGCTCCTGTGAAATTCCCATTGGGAACTTCCCAAATTCCTGATGAGAGAAAGCAGCTATGCAGAGGGAATGAGTTTCTATGAGTGCCATGGAAATCATACAAGAAGCACATTCCACTTATGCTTTAAATAGTAGGTATTTCCCACAGCATTTTTATCTTAAACTTCAGAAACCTTTCCTTATGCAGTTCATTTTGTATTTTCAAATGCCTGAGGGCAAATTCAGAGGCACGGGGCAAGGCAGAACTCTTCGGCTGTATTTCTAATACATTCAGCTTTTCTAAATACAGCAAAAAGGGTCTGAGGCTGAGACTGACACAAAAATTTTGAGATTCATTTCTGGCATTTGTCATGAATTCTTCATTATCCCTGTTAAATTCCTGAAACCATATCTGTGCATCCATTTCCTTTTTTTCCCTAGAACACTGGAACTACCTCACAGTGTCATTGCAAAATACTTATGAGATAGTAAATGCAAGTCACATAGAGCATTACAACATGTCATAAAATGAATGCCCTTTTCACTTAAAAGCTCCACTTCTCAGCCACTGGTTTGGATATTATGGATGCATTAATTTATGTCAATATTTCTGTCCTATCACTTGTGGACAAGAAAAATGTGCTAGAATTCATTGAAAGGGATGTTAGAAGTAATTTTTATTTCCACACTCTTCTATACATGTCTTTTCCCTAATTGTGGATTTTATCAGTATTTGCTAATTCAAGGAGAATTTTTCCTTTAAGTAGGCATTCATAAGGTTACACTCAAAATTGTATTCTGCTACAAGCTAAGATTGTTGGATCTTTAATTTTCCTCTAACATATAATCTGATACAAATTGAACCATGGAAGTTCAGCTTTATTTCAAACCTGTAGGATGTAAAGTGCTGAGATCAGAAGTTTTGAAACTGGAATTCGAATTCCTGGTCCACAAAAGTCTTGCTTTGTGATCATAGGAAATGGTTACTTTCTCTTCATTATTTATTTCTTCTGTGTTTCAAATAAGCACTATAATGTTTGCCACACACATTTCAAAAACGCACTCTCACTTTCAATTATGATAACGAAACTAAAGATTAAGAGATTAATTCTACCGGTGAGAAAAATGATAAAGGATTAATAAAATACATTAAGTCGCTGTTTGGAGGCGTAAGAAAATAGCCAGGGCAGGCATGAGAAGGGAAGAATACCAAGGGGAGCCCCTATTCACTTGCTTTTGCCTTCAAAAATATGCCGTTCACATTATAGGTATATGGAGGCCATGGTGACCTAAAGACTTGGGTACCTCAAAGTGGGCTGGGGAGACACAGTCTGGAGTTGAAGGCTCCCAGGGTGACAAAGACTTAGGGGCAAAATACCAGATGCAAATGCCAAAAATAAGTGAGTCTGAAATGTTGTAGATGATTTCTCCTTTTAGGCATTGCCCAGTCCTTAAACTTTCTATGTGCGAGGTAAGACTCCTAGAAAGTAAAAAGCAATACCCGAAGGGCTAAAAAGCTGAGAAGATATTTTGGCAGCCTCAATACTAAGAAGTTAGAATTCAGGACGGGTCAAGGTGGTAAAAAGAAAGACAGGCTGGGCATGGTGGCTCATGCCTGTCATCCCAGCACTTTTGGAGGCTGAGGCAGGCAGATTACCTGAGGTCAGGAGTTCAAGACCAGCATGGCCAACGTGGTGAAACCCCTTTTCTACCCAAAATAGAAAAATTAGCTGGGCGTGGTGGCGCCTGTAATCCCAACTACTTGGGAGGCTGAGGCAGTAGAATCCCTTCAACCCAGGAGGCGGAAGGTTGCAGTAAGCTGAGATCGCACCATTGCACTCCAGCCAGGGCAACAGAACAAGACTCCGTCTCAACAACAAAAAAAAAAAAAAAAAGAGAGAAAAAGAAAAAAGAAAGGAGGGAGGAAGGGAGAGAAGGAGGAAAGGAAGGAAAGGAAGGAAAAGGAGGAGAGAAGAAAGGAGAGAAGAAGAATTTCAAGTGAGACCCCAGAATACACAGTATGAATGGGAACTCTACCCTAGAAATAAGGGCAGCCTACAATAGGCCAGCCCAGGGGTAACTGGAAATACAGACTCCACTGGAATACGATGTTTTACTTGTATTTATCTACCTGCCAGAGTAAAATTTAACCCTCTCTGGAGTACAAGAGCATTACTCAAAGCATAAAATATCTGGTATTTAGTGAAAGATTAACAGGCAAGCCAACAAACAAACCAAATGACTAAAAAAATCCAAGGTAAATAACAGAGAAAAGATCTAATAGTGAGCTAAATGTTGGAGCTGTGAGAAATAAACTTTAAAATAACTATGCTTAATATGTTCAGAAGATACAAAAAAAAATTCTGGAAATGTAAAGAATTCCAGGAAACGAAAGAAATTCTGGAAATTTTAGAAAGGAAGATAAAATTAACAATTTAAATATTCAAGAGATAGGTTATATAAAATAACACAAAAATATGATCATATAACTTACATTAAGGAAATTAAAACTAAGCAAAGAAGATATAATTATGCACATATTTAAATTAAAAATATTTTTTAAATGCACTGATAATAGGATAATAGTATTACTGTTGGCACTGGTGGTGAGCTTATAAAATCAATATTACAATCTTAACTCTGGAAAATTTTTGGTAGTAACCACTAAAATTAAACACACACAATTTCACTTCATATAAGGAATCTATTCATATTTTTTAAAAATTTATGTACATGACCATTGATAGAGGCATTATTCACAATAATTTCAAACTAACAACAATCCAATTGCTTATCAATGGTAGGATAAATAGTGCTTTATTAATTAATAGACTATAACCCAGCAATAAAAATTTTAAAGTTCTGCTACACAAAACAATATAAATATATTGGATGGGCATAATATAGAGTAACAGAAACCAGATGAAAAGCAACACATACTATATAACTCTTAATGTGAAGTACACAAAAAGACATTGTTAATTTATGATGTTAAAAGTCTCATTAGAGATCACCTTTAAGAGTTAGGAGTTTACCAGAAGAAACTACAAGGAAAGCTTCTGTTGTGCTAATGTTTTTTCATCAGGGTGATCGTTATAGATGTTTATACATTTTAAAAACTCATACACAAGATTAGTACACTTAACTTTATACTGTAGTTCACTTTAAAAGTTTTAACAATTTTGAGAATTAGATTTCATCATACAGGAGTACTTTGAAAAAGTTAAAAAGAAAAGCATATTATTTTTACCAACTTGTTATTTCTGATTCTCAATTTCACATTTGAGAAACCAAAATAAATAGATATCCTTTTTGACTGAAAAAGCAAGGTGTCTCCAAGGACGGACTGATCTCTGATCTTTCAAGCATTAGTTCCTCCCAAGTAGTACACGGTCAATATTGGATTTATTAAAACTAATTTTAAATTTTAAAATGTCATTTCAATTTAGCTTCTATCAACTCAAAATTTATGTGCAGAAAAAGACATTTCCTTTGCCTAAGGAGCAGGTTGCTGGAACCTGGCAAGGTCCCTTTGAAGGGTAAAAATCGTTTTATACCTGGGGAATCCAATATTTATTTGAGCCTGCTGAATAGTCTGAGGCATAACAATAAAATATTTTGATCAAATGGTGTCAAATAAGGAAAGAAAAAACATACACATAAATGGGAATCTGGTTGCACTTTTTACTTAAGGATGTAGAATTAATAGCTATTTCTTTATTAATTACAGGGTTTTTTTTTCTTGTGTCAAGTCAGTAACTAATCAATGCCCTAAATGAATAGAACAGTCTCTTTCTATAACATTAAGCCACATGAACCCATGCGCCTCAACAAATGTTTTTAGAGACATTTTGCCTAAGTATTTGGTGCAGAAACCCATTTTTAATGTATAAACGTGGAAATTACCAATATAATAAATTATATCCACTCTAAATAATTCTATGACTAGAAATTACCTTAGAAATCTCCTTGTCCCTTTCCCTCATTTTGCGTATTCAAAAAATTAAGTGAGATAGGTGAGCTCAGTTGGTGAAACTCACACGGCTTTCTCAATCTAAAATTAGACACAGATTTTCTGATTATTATTTTTTTTTCTTTTTCCAATGGGCTTTGAAATAGTTGCTGTAAAAACAGCATCAAGGTAGAACTCAACCCTACTCCCAATGCCTCCCATTCTTCCAGAGCTATCCTACCACATCTACGTTTCACACTTTTGCAATAAGAGTTACACAACAAAAAATAGTCCTTCTGTTAACAGAAACTGTAAAACTCACTGATACGTGTAAGAACTGAAGGATTCTAGAACAGAGAGTTTGTGTATGGCTCATTAAGAGTTAGGGGTGTCTTGATGGAACAGAAGTTAGGGATTGGTGAAATTTCAGATGGAAAAGTTCGTTAAGGCTAGACTTAGCAGGTCTTAATGCTGGCTCAAATTACCTGGACATTTTTGTATAAGTACAGAATCTTTGTTTTTAAAGTGACGATGAAAGGGAATATTTCTTGGAGTATCTCTAATACGTTGGTGGGGTCTGAGTTAGTGGTTTAGGGGCAGTTTGTTATCAATACAGTAAGTCAAAGAATTCTAATAGTAAATTCCCTGATGGAATGCTATTGCAGCCAAAAATTAAAGCATTGACTAACCTGTTGCCTGGAATGTACTGCTGTTTAGCAGCCTGCTAACTGTCTCCACATTTATGACCACGGATATTATGTGAAAAGTCAATGCAGAGTGATTGGTACTGAACATTACCTACTTGGAGGGCACAGCTAGGGTGGACAGCCTCAACATCACACTCTTCTGTATTTCCACATTTGTTTTCTCTGTCTCTGAAAGTTTAGGCTTTTTAACTCACGTATTTAAAGTCTGTGTAAATAAGGCAAATCTCCTATTTTATTATCGCTTTGCTCTACCCCCAACTCATCATTCTGCTCCTTATCCACAGATTTTGTTTCATATGTGTCATTTACCTTGCACGTGAGTGGCCCTAACGATGAATCTGGACAGGTCATTGGATATGAATAGATGGATATAACACCTCTTTTTATTTTTCCTTTCTTCCTTTCCTCTTTTATGCATTAAAAAACATTCCTGAGTATCTACGCTCTTCTGTGTGTGACTGTACTAAATTCTGGAGCGATAAGAAAGATCTAGTTCCTGACTCTGGGTAGTTAGAGCAATGAGAACATCGGCAGGAAATGTAGACAAGCATCTGTGTTCAAAGAAACAGCAAATGGTAATGGGTGGATTCAGCACAGAGGCTGAAAGAGTAGATGAAAGAGAAGAACCTGATTACAATGACTTTTTCAAAATGAGAATTCTTACCTCCAAAAGATTAATTTACTAAAGGCCACCCAATATATAAGTGGCAGAAGCATCTCTCAAACTTCTCCTCTCAGTCCAAGTCCTATCCTCTTCAGAATTACCAGACCAACGTTATTCATCTATTTTCAACCTCTTCCTAACTTTGCTTTCAATCTTGTTTCTTCCATTTTCCTTTGATAACCTTAAAGTTCTGTTCAGATTTCCATTACTACAAACTCAAGTTCCTAGGTTTGCCTTTCCTTGTTAAGACCACATGAGGCTAAATTCTCTTAAAAATCTAAAACAAAATAGCATTTAATCAGTATACATTTTATATTTTACATCCATACAACTGGTTTTCATTTTCCTAGGCATTCTTTCTTCAAGTTGGAGCTTACTGGTAAGTCGTAACCACATAGCTGATAAATGCAGAAGTCTTCCAACTGAGGGTGGAAGGGGCAGGTTCCCTTATTCATCCACTCACCCAAAATATTATTTGCTTGCTCCCCAAAAAGGCCATTTATTTGGTAATTACTAGTGGAAATGACAGTGTGAAGCTTACATCTTTGTAATCATTGTACATCTTTGTAATCAATGACAACCCTGGATCCAAATTTGACCAAGATTTCAAAAAAGAAAGTGATGTGGAAGAAAATTTGAACTCAAAGTTTTCTGACTTCAGGTCATATGTTCTTATTACTATACCACACAATTTAAAGTTTAGTGTTTCATCCTTGCTCTACCCAAGTTTCCTATTGCAAAACGTCTTTAAATCTATGTCTGAGGAGGGTAAAGGCAGTGATTTAAACTTTTGGTTTCCATCTGCAGATACAAAAAGGTAGAAAGAACACTGCTTCCAAACTTTCAAGAAATAGCCAAGCAAGCCACTTGTTCACAACTTCTCTTGAACATACTGAGGTTTCAGAGCAACCAACTAACCCAGCGTTAGAAGGAAGTCATGTGTCTTTAGGGGCAGAAGAGGCAGGTGCCTTGGCTTACCTGGTAAAGATGCAGGTCAGAAATATTTACCTAGAGATGTGGTGACTTGGGGGAGGCCAGCTGATTATTCTCCGCGAGAGGGTGAAGTTCCTGGGAGATGCAAATATTTGGGGGTATATATCCTCTTGCAGACTCTTGTTTCCCCACAAACACCATAAGATGTTCCTAGAAAAGATTAGGAGAGTCATCAGACATTCTCTCTCATGTTCCAAAACTGGAGGAGGAAATAGAAGCTGATTCAAGAGAGGGGGAAAACTAAGGTAGAAACTGCAACTTATGTTTCCTGTATGAAACAAAAATATGAATCTTTGGAGGGAGAAAGTAAACACTATGAAGCTGGGGTTATCAGTTTATAACTATCGCAGCTGGGGAAATGACCAGGAAAAGTCTCTATAATTCTGGGGGAAGATCTAAAATAGTTTCTAGACTCAGAATTGTAAGGGAGGGAAGACTGAAAAGACTATGTCCTCAAGACCCATAGATATGGTGCTTATTTAGGACTGAGACTGTGGTCCAAACAACAGAAAATTTCCCCACAGTGCCCACCAATCCCTTAAGCAGGCTAGCAAACCCCTCACAGGTAACTGGCCAGAGACAGACCCTTGCTGAGGTGCAGCACAAAGGAGAACCCCAAAGCTGAGGGTAGAGAAGACACTGAAAAAATGAATAAAAAATTACTAAACACAAAGTGTCCTCTGGATAATTTAATACCTGTGACAGACAGAGGGTAATCACAGGAATAACAAACTTCAAACCCAGCTCAATTTCTAATTATATTAACTCAAAACTGGGCCCTAAGGCCTAGTAGAAGAAAGAGTGTTACCATTCTAGGGGTCAAATCTGTCTACCTAAGTCTCAACTCAGCTACCCAAGCTATCTGCCTTTTGTAATAAAATTAAAGTACATATGGCTAGAAAAAGCAATGGACTCCTGAGACAAAAAACAATCATCACAGCCAGATTCACATATATGACACAGATGTAGCAAATATCTGTTAGGTAATTTAAGATAACTCTGATGCATATGAGCGATAAATAGCACTAAGAAATTGATATCATACATCATCAAATATGGTACATTAGAAGTGGCACATCACCAAAAATGTATGCCCTCAGTCTAATTACAGGAAAACATCAGACACACACAAATCAAGAGATAGTCTACAAAATATCTGAAAAGCATTCTTCGAAACGTCAAGGTTATGAAAGACAAGAAAATACTCAGGAACTGTCACCAGCTCCTTAGAAGAATATGAAGACATGCAACAATTAATGCAATGTGGTTTCCTGGATTGGATTCTGAACTGGAAAAAAAGAACATTAATAGAAATTTGGTAACATGTGAATCAAGTTTATAGTTAACAGTGCACCAATGCTAATTTCTAAGTTTTGACAATTGGACTGTGTAAGATGATAACATTAGTATAAGCTAAGTGAAGAATTCTTGGGAAGGCTCTGTATTATTTTCACGATTGTTTTTTAAGTCTAAAATATGTATTAATAAGTTTCTGTTTGCTGGCCGGGCGCGGTGGCTCACGCCTGTAATCCCAGCACTTTGGGAGGCCAAGGCAGGCGGATCACGAGGTCAGGAGATCGAGACCATCCTGGCTAACACGGTGAAACCCCGTCTCTACTAAAAATACAAAAAATTAGCCGGGCGTAGTGGCAGGCGCCTGTAGTCCCAGCTACTCGGGAGACTGAGGCAGGAGAATGACGTGAACCCGGGAGGCGGAGCTTGCAGTGAGCCGAGATCGAGCCACTGCACTCCAGCCTGGGCGACAGAGCGAGACACCGTCTCAAAAACAAAAAACAAAACAAAACAAAAAAACAGTTTCTGTTTGCCTGCTAATGTAGTCAACAAATATTTGTTGGATGCGTGGTATGTCCTGGGCATTCTAGGAGGCACTGAAAAAATATTTCATGGCTTCATGGTATTTATAGTCTACAAAGGAAGACAAGTATTACCTAAATAAGCTAATAAGTATTTTGTTACAAATCCTTAATGAAAGCTACACTATAGCATAAGTAGCTATCAAATGGGACATTTCCTGAGAGCAATGATGGTCTACACTAAATTACCATGCAAGCAACCCTGAAGGTCAGAACAGAACTTCCCAGAGAAGTTAAACTTCCCAGAGAAGTTAAAATGCTTGAATAACATGGTGTGTTAAAATCTATTTAAAGAACACAAGGATAAGCAGCATGAAAGAGATGGGTAAGTGAATATACTTAGGACAGGCTACAGGTGGGTTGGGAGGGCCACACGCTACCTGAATCCTGTGTTTTCAATAGTCCTATGTTCTGTCTGTCTCTCAGCCACATCACCTTTCTCATTGATGACATTTTTATCAGACCAGAGTTGAGGTTCAAGCAAAGGAAACTACAGACAGAAGATGGCCAGGACCAATGACACTCTTAAGTGTGCTTGACCATAGCTGTAGCTTAATGAACAGCTTGGACAGAAGACATATGGGTCCAGAATGGGTGTCGCCACTGAGTGACAAAATTAAGGCCTCATGAATTTCAGTGCTTCTTATATCTCACTTATAGTTGGAATATTCTGAACATTGAGTGCCTCTTGTCTATGTAGTATCTAGTATGTATCATAAATACTTAATATCCAAGTGCTTCATGAATATTAGGTATCTTTCAGTCCTTCCGTCTCTTTCTATCTATTTGCACTCCTCATAAAGCTTTCCTCACTCTACTGAATTTCGCTTTTTCAAAATTAGGTAAGAGGTGGAGAGGGAGTTAAGTTTAGAAACGATTTCACTGGTAGAGCTGTAATGTGGAATTGGTATAATTAGGATAGCAAGTGGTTCCAATGCTTTCACTCATGGGAGGTTTTTGTGGGATCTTCAACCCCCCTACCATTACAAAGACATTATTATTTCTTGTGGTTACCGGGCATGAGTGATGCCCACTTCAGGTGATGGTGTGTGACAACCCCTTCACTACAGGCTCAGGAAACTCTCTTTTGGAGAAGATTCACTCCTCCACATACTCTTCTTGAGTCCGGTGACTTCTAAGATAAAACCCTTTTATTTGGACAGTGCTCAAACCAGGAAAAACAGGATGCTAGCTCATGTCTTCAGAGAACAAATTGACATCATTCTGGCTCATTTCTTCCTCTCTGTAATCAGGAGCTATTTCAGAAGTGAGTCAGATAAAAGCCCAAATTTAACTGGCTGGAAGTGAGGAGAAAAGAACTCCAGCCCCATCATCCCTGGAAGCACACAGCATATTGATTGTACTTTCCAAAGAATTTCTTATTGCTGGAATCTATCTAGAAGCAGAATGAAATAAGAGTTGCAAAGCTGGCTTAACAATCTCTTGATCACCCCTTCATTAAAGATCTGGTCTTCACCAATAGTCTTAAGAAAAAAGTCAAATTTAATACTTCATTCCTTTTTAAAATATAACATGTGGCTGGGCATGGTGGCTCACTCCTGTAATTCCAGCAATTTGGGATGCCGAGGCAAGCAGATCACTTGAGGTCAGGAGTTCAAGACCAACCTGACCAACATGGTGAAACCCCCTTTCTACTTAAAAAAAAAAAAAAAGAGTTGGCTGGGAGTGGTGGCACCCACCTGTTATTCCAGCTATTTGGGAGGCTGAGGCAGGTGGATCACCTGAGGTCGGGAGATCAAGACCAGCCTGACCAACATGATGAAACCCTGTCTCTACTTAAAATACAAAAATTAGCCAGGTGTGGTGGTGCATGCCTGTAATCCCAGCTACTCAGGAGGCTGAGGCACAAGAATTGCTTGAACCTGGGAGGAGGTTGCAGTGAGCCAAGATCACATCACTGCACTCCAGCCTGGGCAACAGAGCAAAACTCCATCTCAATCAATCAATCAATCAAAACATGCAATTACTATTTTTAATCACTGTTAATCTATACACCGATTAACCTGCCACTTACCTAATTGACAGTTATTTTTTCAAGTTGACAATTTAAAAGAAAAGTGCATCCTTAGGAAAAAAAACACAGTTCTTTATATTTACTTTTATTTAAACATATTCTATTTGTTTGGATAAACTGTATTGTAATGATTTATAACCTCTTTTAGATCATTTTAATACCCTTAGAAATTATAAATCTATCTATATTTTGAACTTTCACAAAGATATTACCAGAAACTTAGCAATAATGCTCAGAATAAACCATTTAGTTTTTTTTTTTAAATGGAATTTTTCATGCTAGAGCCACCTTGGCATATTATTTAGGATAACTTTCCACTGGTTGAAGAGTTCTGTGTCTCCATGGATACAAAACCAGGAGGTAATATGACAATGTAATTTTACCTAATTATTGTCTAAAAGTTAAACCCATTAAATTGAAAAGATGATCAAAACTCTTAGTGCTTTTAATTGATGTTTTTAAAGTATTGTATACCTTAGTGAGAGTAAGTTTTTACAGACAGGGAATACAGTAAGTGAACATATCTTTAGGAAAAGCCTACAGATTGTCAACTTTGCTGTCACTCTTTTTTTCAGCCTTCTCGATGACAGAACATAGAACAATCCATCAAGTTGCAAAAGGTTGATCTGATTCCGTCACAGCCAGCTGGGGGAAAATTCAACTGAAAAATGGCCAATTTAAAGGCACTGTGAAGACCAAACAAGCTCACTTCCCCAGGGTCCAACAGATAAGGAAAGTAATGAAGTGGCAAACAATAAAAGAAGAGGGAAAGACAGGGTCATCCTCTGCCTCACTGAGGCTGGGCATGTAATGCTTCAGTACATGCAGGGCACAAATGCAGGCATTAATGTGATCATTCATAATTAACATAATGATCTGATTTTGTCTACTTGGGTACTATCAGGAAGACCTTTTTCATGAGTCTTTCTTCACTTGGATCTGGATATCTCTAACATTCAGATCATAAATTCCATACCAGAGTTCTGATTAAGCTGGCATTAAAAGTTATAATCTGAGGCAATTCTTCTTCACTGAAAATATAATAGATAAAAGACACATTTAAAAAGATCTAGCCATGTATAAAATCAAATACCTGACAACTAGAAAACAAAACAGCAGAACTGAAGCCACTCTCTCTGGGCTCTAGATTTCTTTTTTCTTTTTTAATTTTATTATACTAACTTCTGGGATACACGTGCATAATGTCCAGGTTTGTTACATAGGTATACATGTGCCATGGTGGTTTGCTGCACCTATCAATCTGTCATCTAGGTTTTAAGCCCCACATGCATTAAGTATTTGTCTTAATGCACTCCCATCCCTTGCCACCTGCCCTTCCCCAACAGGCCCCAGTATGTGATGTTTCCCTCCCTGTATCCATGTGTTCTCATTGTTCAACTCCCACTTATGAGTGAGAACACACAGTGTTTGGTTTTCTCTTCCTGTATTAGTTTGTTGAGGGTGATGGCTTCCAGCTTCATCCATGCCCCTGCAAAGGACATGATCTCATTCTTGTATATGGCTGCATAGTATTCCATGGTGTATACGTGCCACATTTTCTTTATCCAGTCTATCATCGATGGGCATTTAGGTTGGTTTCAAGTCTTTGCTATTGTAGTGCTGCAATAAATATACGTGTGAATGTGTCTTTACAGTAGAATGATTTATAATCCTTTGGGTATATATCCAGTAATGGGATTGCTGGGTCAAATGGTATTTCTAGTTGTAGATCCTTGAGGAATCGCCACACTGTCTTCCACAATGCTGGTGAGGCTGTGGTGAAATGGGCTCTAGATTTCTAAGCAGGAAGGAACAGTTGAGAATTTGAGTCAGATGGCATTACAAGGAAAAAGCTCCCCAGAAAAGGTGAAAAAACGGAGACAGGATTGTTGTGTTAAAAGCAAGACATGATAAAGGACCTTTTGTTATCAAGATAAAAAAGCTGAAAAAGGACAGAGGCACAAATGCAGGCTTGGCCACTGCGTTAGTAACAGCAGCAGAGCCAACATGGAGTAGGAACTGAGCCATACACATGACTCTCAGTTCTCAACTGGGAGCCTCGGGATGCTGGGTGGAAAAAACTGCAAAACCCCAAAAGCATGAAAAGCAGATGGAGAGAGAAGTAGAGAGTCTTCCCTCAAAGGCCAGTAAAATGAAACTCAAGATATATAAAATATGATAGAAACATAAAAGTTACCAATAAAATCAGCACTAGGTAGATGAATTCCCTTCTGTAAAATGAAAATGACATAGCAATGAGACAAAATTCAACGATTGTACTCAATCCCCTAAACATTTATTGAATAGATAACATTGATAAAAAATAACTTAAATGGAAATAAAGTTTGAATATGTGTAAATATTCTACCATTCAGTATACCTTTGCTATATGTATAATTCAGAGAAATTGAAGCAAATTTAGCAAAATGTTAAAATTATTAAAGTCTATACATCTTATGTGTTATTTTACATAATGAGTTACATAGTTAAAATCTTTGACATTTTTAGAGCAATTTCTCATCGTTTTTAAATTTCTGGATACCAAGTATCTTATAGGGCACATGTTATTTCTATGCTGCTGAAGACATATTGAGTAAGAGAGTTTTAATCAATGGTCCATAGCCAGCAACAGAGTATCACTCAAACTTAGGTCTTCTGATGCAAAAGCCCTTTAATGTGGCTCCAAAGGTTATTAACTTTATTTTCTGTGCTATCTTAATTTCCTCACTTGGAATTTATTAGTATGGTAGAAAAATGAAATGTCATATTTAAAGCACCAAATGAGTCTTCAGTAAATGTTACTATCCTTTCTTTTGATCTTTCTGACAACTTTTTGCTTTCTTAGTGTTTGTTACTTCACTAATAATTTAAACATTCTGTGCAGCCGGAACCAAGTTTAAGATTTATATTTCTTTATCCACCTCATTCATCATCACCAGGTACATATTTCTGCTATCTATAATAATAACATCTTGGTTCCTCACAGCTAACATGTAAAATGGGTAAGGAAAGTGCTCATTTTAACATTTTTTTTTTTTTAGTTAAAAATCTGAAGCTCAGGGTTACATGATTCACCCAAGTTCACAAAACTAAGAGGAAATTGAGCTACAATTTTAAATTTGGTTTTCTGATTACAAATTCATAATTTTCCTGTAAATGTGAGGTTTTCAATTATCTACCAACATAACTAATTTTATATATTAATTGTTATTCTCAGAACTTCTTACTCAAACAAAATTATTGGTGGAAGCTCATTGTGTCAAATAAATGACAGTGAATCTTCTGTTGCTATGAGGGCATGCGGGAGGGGGGTGTCATAAAGGCAAGGCCAGAGACCTGGAGGTTCTGATTGCATAGGTTAGGGTGGGGGCCCAGGGACTTCTATTTTCACAAGTTCCCAGGGGATGCTGATGCTGCTGGTCTAGAGACCATAACTTAGAGAATCATTGTTCTAATTGCTTGCTACACCCTTTGTATGGTCTGCAAAAAGCAGCATCAGCCTCACCTGGGAATTTGTTAGAAATTCAGAATCTCAGACCCCACTGCAGATCCACTGAAATAGGATGTGTGTTTTACTAAGATATGTATGTACATAAATGAGAAGCTCTGGTTTGATATGCTGGGTCTCAGCCCTATGCACATTAGCATAACTTGGTACAATATCAACAAATACATGCTTGGTTCTCTCCCAAAAATATTTTAATTGGTCTAGGGTATGGCCAGGCATTGGTATATTTTAAACGCTTCTCAGGTGATTCAAAAGAGCAACTACATATGTGAGCCAAAGTCCTAGAATACGTCATTTCCCACACTTACCTTAGATTTTAAAAAATCTGACAAGTTGATAAAACAGCAAATTCTTAGGCACCTCTTATAAAAATATTCAGTAGATCAAAGAGGAGCCACACATTTATAATTTTAATATGAATTCTAAGTCATTCTTATTGTAAGTTTGGAAAATTGCACTCCAGAATTGTACCCAAATCCCTAAAATAAATGGATTGTATTTTGGTAACATTTTTATCTGTTGTACCATTTTAAAAGTGCTTCAAACAACATATACAATTTCATAATTTCATAGCATAATTTGGAGACTTATACTTTAAAATGTGTTTATACTATGAAAATATATACATACAGACAGACAGACATAGATAGATAGATAGATAGATAGATAGATAGATAGATAGATGCTAGATAAAGGGATCTTCAGAGATAGGCATTATTTTAATAGAATAACTAAGTTGAACTGTTGGGAAATCATTCTAGTTCTGGCTTTCTCTTTAATTTAATTTCTTTTAACATGTATCAATGTTGACGACTCTTAACATCCTTGGATGTCAATTTCTTCATTCATAGATAGAAAAGAGCGTATCAAATGACTGTGGCTTTAAAAAGTATTATCATTTAAGTAAACGTAATGACGTGTAGCAGCCATCGGAAAGTTAACTGCCAACCTTGATTTTAACATCTGGTTTCTTCTGACATATTGCCCACTATGTATTTATTGATAATAATTGTCACTTCCCAAGAGACTTCCAGCAAAATCTTTGTTCAAGCAAAATTATGCCACAGAAGAGACCATCACCTTCACTGATTCCCAATAATATCTCAAAATGGGATAACTGGAAACTGGTCTTTACAGGGTGCATGGGCTGGGCTGGGTGATTTTAAGGTAAGACTTGTAAGGCAGGAAACCGTTTAAGAAAGCAAAGCATATGACCTAGTAACTTTGAATTAATGGTTGCAGTGAAGTGAAGTGAGGTTCTTACAAGTGATTCTTAATGAGGAAAACTATTAACTAAGCTGTTTAGTTGGTTCACAAGAACAAGAATTTCTTGGAACAAGCAGCTAAATTATTGTTGCCTGATCCAGACTACTTTAGCACAAAAGCATGAAAATATGCTTTCTCCTAGAATTGGTTAGCATGATAACAGAAAAGATGTTGACTTCCGTTCTCTATACTTAATGAAAATATGTTTACGGGGTTTCTGTGTTGTTACAATAATCAATTGCATATTCCAAAACAGTTTGTAGTTAAATCTCAGCCCCTTTCTTCATTAGTACTCATTAGTTGGGCCAGCACATCTCTTCTCGGACCCCTTGGACTTCTGTAGCCAGATAACCCCTAAATTCAGGATACTTTGCCTTCATCCACTAGGAGGATAGTCATCAGATTTGTCCACTATTGTTTTCAGGATTATGGCTACCACAGGTCATTTGCAAAGGACAATATTAAATCTCAACTGCTATCTACCCATTCAACATGGGTCACAGTCAATACTGACCTAATACACTGTCAGCCACAGGGGCTCAACTCTCTCAGGTATCTATGGATCTGGTCTCAGGAATTCTTTGTTCATTATCCTTTGTACAGAGTACAGAGGCTGTCCACGGTGAAGTTGCCTGGTGTGGCATGAACTTTTATTTTGGAAAATAAAAATTCAAAAGTATTTCCAATAAAAACAACTGCTGGGATAGAAAATGGAAAGCGAGCATGTCAGCAAGCACTCCAAGTTAAGAAAAAGGTCAGAATAGCATGGGGCGCTTAAGAGCACAGACTAGGCATATGTAAGGGGAATGGGAAGTGGAAATAACAAATATGAAGCAAACGCTATGATTCCAGAAATATGAATCATTTCCATTCAAACTTCATTCAGTGATGCTATGAGATACATATCATTATCTCCATTTTAAACAAGTGGGGAAACCTGAGATCAAACGAAATAACAGACTTGTCCCAAGTCAGCAGTAATCTAGGATAGAGCAGTTTGCGAGCATAACTCCAGTGCTACTCTTTCCTTCCTGTTATCCTGTCTCTTTGTGCAACATGGTTTGAGTGCTGTGGTGAATTCAGTGGACCAGTCCTCTTTGCAGGAAAACAAGAGGACTCAACTAGCCTTAATATTTTTCTCAGAGAAGCCTGAAACTTCATCTGTAACGAAGACTTCATTTTTCTTGGAAACAATCTCATTCTACAGGTCTCCATGTGGCTTGGATAACATTGGAGTCGCAATAGTTCCATAAGGGTTCCACCACATTAACACAGCAATTATAGCAGCAGTGGTCACATGACCACCCTGGTCCAGTGATAATCATGATTAGGACTTTTGCTAATATAATTAGAAAAAAAGATGTTTTGTTTCCACCAATGTTTTTAGAGTAGGATGTAAGTGTGGAACTGATAGGTTCTAACTAGTAGAGAGCATCTGAGAATAAGTTTTTAAAAAAGGAAGCAGAATTAAGAAATAAAGAGTACTTTTATCATTATTGGATACCTTGGGTTGTTTGTTTGTTTTGAGAAATAGTCTCACTCCTACGCCCAGTGATCTCCACTCACTGCAGCCTCGACTTCTTGGACTCAGGTGATTGTCCCATCTCAGCCTCCTGAGTAGCTAAGATTACAGGGGCTCGCACCACCTCGCCCAGCTAATTTTTGTATTTCTTTTTCTTTTTCAATTTTTGTAGAGATGTGGTTTTGCCACGTTTCCCAGACTGTTCACTAAACTCTGGGGCTCAAGCAATCTGCTTAAGCTCGGGTTCCCAAAGTGCTGGGATTACAGGTGTGAGTCACTGCACCTGGCTATTGTTGATTTATTTTTGCTAGTATGTTGATATGAGAGTTTAATATACTTTATTTTGGGGTGAGTTTATTCCAATTGTGAGTGAATTATTTCATACATTTATACTATATTTTACCTAAAGTATTTCTACCTCCATATTCATATCCTTGGTCTATTCTATTTCCTATTGGGTTTCTGGTATTTTTCTTGCCGATTCTTAGTTTCTCTTTATGTATCTCTCAGTTTGACTTTAGTATTGTGACTTATTTCTTATATTCCTTTTTTCATACATACATTTAAAATTTTTATATAATCACAAATTTATAAACTGTCTTTTTTTATGGATTCTGGATTTTTTTTCTAGAAAAACCCTTTTCTACTCCAAGATTATAAAATAAATCCCTTCATGTTGTCCTCTAGTTTTATTTTGAGAGTGTGATATAATGAATATTTTCAAGGTCCAGCATTATTTTTACTTGGGTTTCAGTTGTCTAACTACTGTTTATTAATATATAGCTTTCTCATTAATTTTAAATGGCAGCTTTATTTTAATGTATTTTATGAAATCTTTACCTGTTTCATATATCTGCTTGCTGACTCTGTGCTAAGATCAAAAGTTTTTATTACTATATATTTGTAATGTGTTTTAATATAAATAGTATTTTATTTTATTTTACTTTATGTTATTTTATTTTATTTTTGAGATGGAGTCTTGCTCTGTCACCCAGGCTGGAGTGCAATGGCATGATCTCGGCTCACTGCAACCTCCGCCTCCCAGGTTCAAGTGATTCTCCTGCCTCAGCCTCCTGAGTAGCTGGGATTACAGGCACGTGCCATCATGCCTGGCTAATTTTTTGTGTGTTTTTGCAAAGACGGGGTTTCACCATGTTGGCTAAGCTGGTCTCAAACTCCTGACATCAGGTGATCCGCCCACCTAGGCCTCCCAAAGTGCTGGGATTACAGGAGTGAGCCACCACGCCCAGCCATAGAAACAGTATTCTTAATTATCATTTGTATTTATCATTATTTATTTCTATTTTTATAATTATTAGTTATTCCTACTCTTATATGTCTTCATATCGGAGGTTTAAAATCGATTTAAGTATCAAAGAAACAAAACAATCAACCATTATTTTATTAATCATACTAACTTCATAGATTAAATTGGAATAAATTAAGATGTTTACACCATTTATTCTTATTGACTAAAAACAATTTAGGAGTTTTATCTTCATTTGTTATTATATTAAATTAAAAATAACAAACTATTCATAGCTTCTCCTGTATAGAAATATGGTTGATTTTCCAAACCCTTGAATCTAGGTGGCTTGTGACTTAAAGTTCAATTGGCAAATTCTAGGCCTAAAATAGCCTTGCCACTTCACTCTGAGCCTCTTGGAATACTGCTGCCACATGCAAACAAGTCCAGGCTAGCATCCTGGAGGATGAGAGACCATAGAGAGACCTAGAAGAAGCCAACACCACATGGAGCAGAGTTGAGCTGCTCCAGCTGAGCAGGACCCAAACTGCCAAAAAAACAAACAGGAGCAAATATGTTATTGTTTTATTAAGCCATTAAGTTTTGAGGTGGTTAGTTACACAGTAATGAACCACTGATGGGTGTTTATGTTTTTTTTTCTAGGTGTCTTATTAAGTTTATTTATATAATTTATTTACATTTGTTTACTATTATAAACATAGAGGTCTCTAGTTCTAAGAGGTCATTATTTATAAATAAGAAAGCTAAGTATAATAATTTTGTTCCTATACAAATGAGTTTATTTAGTTCCTGACAGTGTTAAATTGACATACTTAGTTATTCCAGTTATATGATCTCATCATTTTTAAAATAAAAATTTTGCCTCTTAACAAAAATGTTTTATACATATAAATATAAATTTGTTGTTTGTTTACACTGATTAGTACTTCTAGAAAAAAGTTAAATAATAGCAATGGTGGCAATAGACCATCTTCTGAATGTAGTGACAAATATTCCAGTGTTCTGCTATTAAGTACTACAGTCGTAAACAAGTATCCTATTTTTAAGGTTTTTTTTTTCTTCTTCTTTTTCTTTCTTTTCCTTCCCCTCCTCTTTGGTACCTGATTCTTGTTAATGATAAAATAGTATCCTTTATGTTCTTTCTTTCCACTAGGTACTCCTTTGCACAATGTTTTCCTTATTTAATTATTCCTTATAAGTTTCAGAGATTAAATCTTGTAACAGTCCAGGCAGCAGTGGAATTTTCTTTCCTGAGTAATCTTCTAAACATTACTTATAACTGGCCGGGCGTGGTGGCTCACACCTGTAATCCCAGCACTCTGGGAGGCCGAGGCAGGCAGATCACAAGGTCAAGAGATCAGGACCATCCTGGCCAACATGGTGAAACCCTATCTCTACTAAAAATACAAAAATTAGCTGGGCATGGTGGCGCACGCTTGTGGTCCCAGCTACTTGGGAGGCTGAGGCAGGAGAATTGCTTGAACCCAGGAGGCAGAGGTTTCAGTGAGCCGAGATCGCACCACTGCACTCTAGCTTGGTGACAGAGTGAGACTCCATCTCAAAACAAAAACAAAAAAAAAGAAAAAAAAAAGATTACTCATTGCCAAGATGGCACCAGCCTATTCACCATGTGGGGTAATAACTCAAGGTAAGTCATCAGAACAAGCCATGTAGACCAACACCTCCTCGCTACTCTTACATGCCCCTCCTACTGTGTTTCCCCTTTTTAAGTACCTACACTCAACCCAGAACTCTGAAATGGTTTAAGGCAGGAGCCTAGACCACTCCCCCACTGCTAGCTTTGGTAAGTAAAATCACTCTCCTTTCATGGCGCTTCATCCTTGTCATTGGCATTGCAAGTGCTGAGCAGCTGAGCCTATGCTTGGTAACACAATGGAAGCATCCATCAATTGTTAGGTTGGCACATAAGTTAATGTGGTTTTTGCCATTACTTTTTGTGACAAAAAACACAATCTCATTTGCATCAATCTAATACTATTTTATTTAAAGTTAAGTGATTATAATAAAAAAATTTTCAACCCCATTAAAAAGTAGGCAAAGGACATGAGCAGACACTTTTCAAAGGAAGACATACATGTGGCCAACAAGCACATGAAAAAAAGCTCAATATCTTGGGAAGGTGAGGCAGGTGGATCACGAGGTCAGGAGTTTGAGACCAGCCTGGCCAACATGGCAAAACCCTGTCTCTACTAAAAATACAAAAATTAGCCAGGTGTAGTGACATGCGCCTGTAATCCCAGCTACTCTGGAGGCCGAGGCAGGAGAATCGCTTGAACCTGGGAGGCGGAGGTTGCAGTGAGCTGAGATCACACCACTGCACTCCAGCCTGGGTGGCAGAGCAAGACTCCATCTCTGAAGAAAAAAAAAAAGTTCAATATCATTAATCATTAGAAAAATGCAAATCAAAATCACAATGAGGTACCATCTCACACTGGTGAGAATAGGTATTATTAAAAAGGCAAGACCATACACAGTGGCTGATGCCTGTAATCCAGCACCTTGGGAGGCCAAGACAGGCACATCTATTGAGCTGAGGAGTTCAAGACCAGCCTAGGAAACATAGGGAAACCCAATCTCTTCAAAAAAAATACAAAATTAGCCAGGTGTGGTGGCATACGCTGGTAGACCCAGCTACTTGAAAGGCTGAGATGGGAGGATTACTTAGGTCTGGGAGGTTGAGGCTGCAATGAGCCAATATTACACTGCTGTACTCCAGCCTGGGCAACAGAGCCAGACCCTGTCTCAAAAAAAAAAAAAAAAGTCAATTAATAAATGTTGGCAAGGTTGTGGAGAAAAGGGAACATTCATACACTGTTGGTGGGAGTGTAAATTAGTTCAACTATTATGGAAGACAGTATAGTGATTTCTCAAAGAGCTAAAAGCAGAACTGCCATTCAACTCAGCAATCCCATTACTGGGTATATACCCAGAGAAATATAAATCATTCTACCATAAAGACACATGCACATGAACGTTCACTGCAGCACTATTCATAATAGCAAACACATTTAATGAGCCTAAATGCCCATCAATGGCAAACTAGATTAAAAATTGTGGCACATATACACCATGGAACACTATGTGGCCACAAAAAAAAAAAAAAAAAGAATGAGATCAGGTCTTTTGCAGGAGCATAGATGGAGCTGGAGGCCATTATCCTCAGCAGAGCAGGAACAGAAACCCAAACATCACATGTTCTCACTTATAAGTGGGAACTAAATGATGAAAACTCGTGAACACAAAGAAGGGAATAAAAGACACTGTGATCTCCCTGAGGCTGGACACCGGGAGGAGGGAGGGGAGCAGAAAAGATAACTATTGAGTACTGGGCTTGATACCTGGGTGATGAAATAATCTGTACAACAAACCCCCGAGACACAAGTTTACCTATGTAACAAACCTTCACATGTACCCCGAACCTAAAAAAAAGGGTAAAAAATATTTTTCAATATGCCGTGACCATCAATCTAGCTTTGCTATATATTTTTATAGTAGTTCTATGTATACATTTTGTTAGTGTATGTCTTATAATATAATATAGGTTATATGCACATATTTCTCCATATTAAATCCTTCTTTTTTTCTAGAAACAAACCCTGGTTTTCTACTGCATTTCCTAATTGTTGTTTTCTTGTTTTTGTTTTGCTCGAGTTCATTTTTTTGTGTCACTTTAAAATCAATATGTTAAAATTAGTTTTCTTTCTTTGTACTAAAATGTCTACTATTGATATCAAAGATGTTTGATTTTTAAAATATTTTAGAATATTTCCTTTGCTTTCAGTGCTCTTAACCAGTTTAAATAGCAACAACTTGATCAATTCCTTGAAATATTCATAAAACTTACCTGTAAAAACCTCTGGTTTGTGGCATTTTGCCCAGTATTAGAGATGCAGTAGTGAGGAGGAGGTGGTTTTCTTTTTGAACAGGTTTGTCTCAGGCAATTGATCTGTTTATGTTTTCTGTTACTTCATCTGTTAAATTTAGCAATTTGTATTTTCCTGGAATCTCATCTATTATATTCAGCTTTTGAACTGATCTGAAGAAAGTGGTGAATTGTTTAATTTTTTAATTTCCTTTGTATCTTTGGCTCTTTTTCATTTCCTCCCTAATCTTTTGTTTCTGTGCTTTCTTCCTTTTCTTCTCCTGATTAGTCTAGAGTCTATTGTTTTCAAATAGAACACAATTTGATTTATATTATTAATATCTTTTTTTTCAAATGTGGTATGGTCTTTTTTTAATTAATTCTATTATTTCACTTATTTACACTTTATGATTTATTTTTCAAACATTTTTAATTTAATGTTTAAATTATTTACTCTTTTTCTTCAGGCTCTCCCTCCCTCCCTCTTTTCCTCCTTCCCTCCCTCCCTTCCTCCTCTCTCTCCCATTCCCTTCATTTTTTTCTGGTCTGCTTGTTCTGAAATGTTTGCCGTCTTTATGGTATGATAGTTTTATGTCAAAATGAAAAAAAATCACACAATTCTGGAATAGCACTCTTAAAGTGACATCTTTCACATACTAAACTGCTATAATTCACATACTCATATTTCATACACCTTAAATAAGCATACATACTGTATACATAAGTATAAAATGAGTTTTTCTTACCAAGGATCAAGAAAGCCTCACACAGCATGTTCAATAAATGGTTGAAAATGGTTAATATTTAATTAATTTACATGAAGCCTGCATATTCAAAACATTAAGAAAGTTGTAATTCTAGCTTTTTTTTCTTATTTTACAAAAAACTTATTTATTTCTTATTATTTCTTACTTGTACAAAAAAATCTCATACCTTGGTTAAAAAGTTACAAATTTAATACAGAAGATAATCATCCTAAATAATAAAATACTGGAAAGAGAAAAGGAGAAATAACTATGCTTTCTGTCATTTTGTATTTTCCTGATGTTTCAGTTTTCTCTCTCTTCTGGCTAGAGAATTGCTTACAGGGAACACAGGCAATGCACAGAGGTATTTATTTCTTAAAGATATGCAAAACTAAAATTATCATTCCTTTTGGAATGATTAGGACAATAGTAAAACTAAAAATAAGTGAAGTCTCACAACACAGGTTTGAAGAAGGATTTCTTATTCTGAAGTTAAACAGAGAAGAGGAAGTAGTAGCCTGCTGGTCTTCAATTAACTCTCTATTCATTCATGTGGGGATGGCACAGAAAATATTTCCTAGGTTTTCTCTAACATTGCAGAACACGTCAACGATAGAAATAATTGTATGTACAGATAGATGAAAAAATACAATCTCCTTAGATGCAGTTTTTGGTTACTGGAAAGGCCATTTGTAAATTTCTTATTTATTCAGTTTCCTAGGCCATTTTTCAGGCTTGATGCAATTCCCTATCTTAAATTTTCTACCTAGCTTGTAAGAGCATTAAAACTTTCTCTGTTCATACATTTCACCACTGACATTTTAGACGTACTTGGGCATAAATTTCTACCCAGCGAGTCTCAGAAAAAATTTCAACTTTATTGCCCAAGGGTTTCTCCCCAAAGGAAAAGGCAGAATAAAGGATGGGCAGATTCCTCAATTATGTGTGTATCTATTTTAACAAGTCAGTGAGATATTATAAGTCGTCTGTCAACTGTTACTTGCAGTCCCTACCCACACTTAGGCTCCTCATCTTGTAAAATTTGCTCAGTTTGTGAATATTCTAATAGTTTGACATGTCATTGTAAGGATGATAAGTTAATATTCAAGTGGGGGTTCTTTTGTGAACAAAACAGAATTTTTATTGATATTTATGTTGGGACTATAACAAAATGTAGTAACATTTTGTTACTGTACTTCTTATCAAAGGAATACTATGGTTTGAATGCTTTTGTCCCCTCCAAAATTCATATGTTTGAAATGTAGTCACCAATTCAACAGTGTTGAAAGGTGGGACCTGATGGGAGGTGTTTAGATCACAAAGCCTCTGCCCTTGTGAACGGATTAACACCTTTATGAAAAGACCTTGTGAAAGGTTTGCTCTCTTGCCCTTCTGCCTTCCACCATGTTAAGATGCAGCAAAAAGGCCCTCAGCAAATGCTGACACTTTCATTTTGGACTTTCCAGTCTCTAGAACAGTGGCAAATACATTTCTGTTCTTCATCAATTACCTAGTCTAGTTATTGTTATAGTAGCACAGATGGATTAAGACAGGGCCATACACTGTGTATCAGTGGTTTGCCAAGTTTTGTATGCACCGGAATCATTTGGAAACTTCGGTAAAAGATTACTAGACTCCACCAGCAGAGCTTCCGGTTTTGTATGTGTCGTGGGTTAAATGGGAGGAATTTTTATCCTCCAAAAATTCATGTCCACCCCAGACCTCAGAATGTTCCCTAATTTAGAATAAGAATCTTTGCAAGCATAATTAAAATAAGGCCTTCAGGATGACGTCATCCTGAATTAGGGTGGGGCCAAAATCCAATGACTGGTGTCCTTATTAGAGAAAGAAGGGGGATACTTGAGATATGAAAACAGAGGAGAAACACAGAGAAGAAAGCCATGTAAAGACAAAGCATTGATTGTAGTAATGTGTTTGCAAGCCAAGGAGTGTGGAAAAAAAAGAAATAATGCCAGTAACCACCAGAAACTAGGAGAAAGGCATGGGAAGTTTTCTCCTTCAGAGGCTTCAGAACAAAGACTCCTGCTGATACCTTAATTGTGGACTTCTAGTTTCCTCTGTGTTTTGGGTAATTAGTTATGGCAGCGCTAGGAAACTAATACACTGGGTCTGCAATGAGGTCAGAGAATTTGCATTTCTTTTTTTTTTAATTCTTCTTTTTCTTTTTTTTTTGAGACAGAGTCTCACTTTGTCACCCAGAGTGGAGAGCAGTGGTGCCATCTTGGCTCACTGAAGCCTCAACCTCCCAGGTTCAAATGATTCTCCTGCCTCAGCCCCCCAAGTAGTTGAGACTACAGGCATGTGCCACCACACCCAGCTAATTGTGTAATTTTTGACGGGCTTTCATCATGTTGCCCAGGCTTGTGTCACCCTTCCCCCTGCCCCAGGCAGCTCAGCAGAGAGAAAGAGACTTTTCTTTGGAAAAAATTAAAGGAAGAGACCAGAAATCTCTGCTAGGTAATTCAAAGATTTCTACCAGATCTTATCCACCAAGAGGTACCACCAAGGAAGTACCTCTACAAGTCTGTCAGAGTCAACAGTGTTACTGGGATCGAGATGACACAAATGCAGATATGGCTTCAGTGACCAAAAATTTAGATCATAACACCAAAGAGACTCTGAATACCTGGAAAGCTTTTCTAAGAAGGATGAATATAAACAATCCTAAACTGCGAAGACTACAATAAATATCTGTATCTTCAATGCCCAGACACTGAATAACATCTGCAAGCATCAACACCATCCAGGAAAACATGACCTCACAAATTGAACTAAAGAAGGCACCAAGGACCAATCCCAGAGACACAGAGATATGTGACCTTTTAGAAAGAGAATTCAAAATAGGTGTTTTGAGGAAACTCAAATTCAATATAATACAGAGAAGGAATTCACAGTTCTATCAGATAAATTTAACAAAGAAATTGAAATAATTAGAAAAAATCAAGCAGAAATTCTGAAGTTTAAAAATGCAATTGACATACTGAAGAATGCATCAGAGACTCATAATAAGATAATTGATCAACCAGAATAAAGCATCAGTAAGCTTGAAGACAGGCTATTTGAAAATACACAGTCAGAGGAAACAGAAGAAAAAAGTATAAAAAAGAATGAAGCACACTTACAGAATAGAAAATAGCCCTATATGGGTAAATCTAAGGGTTATTCGCCTTAAAGAGGAGGTAAACAAAGAGATAGGAGTAGAAAGTTTATTTAAGGAAATAATGTCAGAGAACTTCCCAAATCTAGAGAAAGATATCAATATTTAAGAAAAAGAAGGTTATAGAACACCAAGCAGATTTAACCCAAAGAAGACTACCTCAAGGAATTTAATAATCAAACTCCCAGAGGTCAAAGATAAAGAAAAGATCCTAAAAGCAGCAAGAAAAAAAGAAACAAATAACATACTACGGAAGTCCAATAAGTGTGGCAGCAGACTTTTCAGTAGAAACCTTATAGGTAGAGACTGCCACAATGTATTTCAAGAGCCGAAGTGAAAAATGTTTTCCCCATAATAGCATATCCAGTGAAAATACTGTACAAACATGAATGAGAAATAAAGACTTTCCCAGAAAAATAAAGCCTGAAGGATTTCATCAATATCAGACCTGTCCTACCAAAAATGCTAAAGGGAGTTCTTAAATCTCAAAAACATGAATGCTACTGAACACTAAGAAACATCTGAAGGTTTAAAACTCACTGGTAATAGTAAGTACAGAGAAAAACAAAGAAGATTATAACTCTGTAATTGTGGTGTGTAAACTACTCCTATCTTAGGAAGAAAGATGAAAAGATGAAGTAATCAAGAATATTTACTGCCACTTCCCAAGACAGAGAGAGTATAATGAGATATAAATAGAAACAACAAAAAATAAGAAATAGGGGAACAAAGTTAAAATATAGAGTTGTTGTTAGTTTTGTCTTTGCTGGTTTGTTTGTACATGTAATCAGTGTTAAGTTGTCATCAGTTTAAAATACTGGGTTACATCAATGATAGACTGGATAAAGAAAATGTGGTACATATACACCATGGAATACTATGCAGCCATAAAAAGGAATGAGATCATGTCCTTTGCAGGGACATGGATGAAGCTGGAAGCCATCATCCTTAGCAAATTAACACAGGAACAGAAAACCAGACACTGCATGTTCCCACTCATAAATGGGAGTTGAACAAGGAGAACACATGGACACAGGGATGGAAACAACACACACCAGGGCCTGTTGGGGTGGGAAATAAGGGGAGGGAACTTAGAGGACGGGTCAAGAGGCGCAGCAAACCACCATGGCATACCTCTGTAACCAACCTGCACATTCTGCACGTGTATCCTGAAACTTAAAGTAGAATAAAAAAAATTAAAATAAATAAAATACTGGGTTATAAGATATTATTTACAAGCCTCATGGTAACCTCAAACCAAAAACATACAATAGATATATATTTTTGAAGCAGAAAATTAAAATATACTACCAGAGAAAATCATCTTCAGTAAGAGGAAGACAGGAGGGGAGATAAGAAGAAAGAGAAAATAACAAAAGAATCAGAAAAAAAAATGGCAGGAATAAGCCCTTACTTAATAATATTGAATGTAAATTAATTACACCCTCCAATCAAAAGACAAAAAGTAGCTGAATAGATTTAAAAAAAAAAAGACCCAAAGACCTGTTGCTCACAAGAAACACTTCACCTATAAAGACACACATAGAATGAAAAAAAGGATGGAAAAATTATTACATTCAAATGAATACCAAAAAGAGCAGTAGTAGTGTATTAGGGCACTCTGGAATTACTATAAAGAAATAGCTGAGAATGAGTAATTTATAAGAAAAGAGATTTAATTGGCTCACAGATCTATAGGCTATACAGGAAGCATGGCAGCCTCTTCTTCTGCAGTGGCTTTAGGGAGCTTTTACTCATGATGGAAGGCAAAGCATGAGCAGGCACTTCATATAGAGAAAGCAGAAGCAAGAGAGAGCAAGTGGTAGGGATATGCCACACAAACACTTTTAAATGACCAGATCTTATGAGAACTCACTCACTATTGTGAAAACAGCACCAAGCCATGAGGTATGTGCCTCCACGATCCAAATGCCTCTCAACAGACCCTACCTCTGGCATTGGGATTACAATTCAACATGAGATTTGGCAGGGACAAATATCCAAACTCTCTTATTCTGCCACTGGTCCTTCTCAAATCTCATGCCATTCTCACATTGCAAAATACAATCATGCTTTCCCAACAGTCCCACAAAATCTTAACTCATTTCAGCACTAACTCAAAAGTCCAAAGTCTCATCTAAGACAAGGCAAGTTCCTCAAGGATCTAGAACTAGAAATAAGAATAAATAAATAAATAATAAAAAATAAAACAAGAGGACTAAAGAAAAAAAATCAGGAAACAACAGATGCTGGAGAGGATGTGGAGAAATAGGAATGTTTTACACTGCTGGTGGGAGTGTAAATTAGTTCAACCATTGTGGAAGACAGTGTGTTGATTCCTTAAGGATCTAGAACTAGAAATACCATTGGACTCAGCAATCCCATTACTGGGCATATACCCAAAGGATTATAAATCATTCTATGATAAAGACACATGCACACGTATGTTTACTGAGGCACTACTCACAATAGCAAAGACTTGGAACCAACTCAAATGTCCATCAGTGATAGACTGGATTAAGAAAATGTGCACATATATACCATGGAATACTATGC
The DNA here is from genome assembly GCF_000001405.40 of Homo sapiens. NCBI lineage: Eukaryota > Metazoa > Chordata > Mammalia > Primates > Hominidae > Homo > Homo sapiens. The sequence goes on along the minus strand of NC_000002.12, from coordinate 115,995,308 downwards.
AGCCATAAAAAGGGTGAGTTCATGTCCTTTGCAGGGACATGGATGAAGCTGGAAACCATCATTCTAAGCAAACTATCACAAGGACAGAAAACCAAACACCTCATGTTCTCACTCGTAGGTGGGGGTTGAACAGTGAGAACACATAGACACAGGGTGGGGAACATCACACACTGGGGCTGGTTGGGGGGTGTGGGGCTGGGGAAGGGATAGCATTAGGAGAAATACCTAATGTAAATGACCAGTTGATGGATGCAGCAAACCAGAATGGCACATGTATACCTATGTAACAAACCTGCACGTTGTGCACATATACACTAGAACTTAAAAAAACAAAACAAAACAAAAAGGCAAGGCAAGCTCACAGGCTTCCACCTATGGGCCTGTAAAATCAAAAGCAATTTATTTGCTTCCAAGATAGAATGAGAGTAGAAGCATTGGATACACATACCTGTTCCAAAAGAGAGAAATCAGCCAAAAGAAAGGGGTCACAGCTCCTATGCAAATTTGAAACTAAGCAGGGCAGTCATTAAACTTCAAAACTCCAGAGGAGTCTCCTTTGACTCCATGTCCCACATCCAGGGCATGCTGGTTCAAGGACTGGGCAGCTCCACCTCTGTGGCTTTGCAAAGTTCAGCCCCTGTGGCTGCTCTCTCAGGCTGTTGACAGCCTACAGCTTTCCAGGTGCAGGGTTCAAGCCGCAAGTGAATCTGCCATTCTGTGGTCCGGAGGAGAGTGGCCCCCTTCTCACAGCTCTGCTAGGCAGTGCCCACTGAGGACCCTGCACAGGGGCTCCAACCCCACATTTCCCTTTGGCACTACCCTAGCAGAGGTTCTCTGTTGAGGGCTGTGACCCTGTAGCAAGCTTCTGCCTGGGCACCCATGCTTTCTCACACATCCTCTGAAATCTAGGCAGATGCTCCTCAGCCTTCTTCATTCTTGCATTCTGTGCGCCTACAGGTGTAAGATCACATAGAAGCTGCCAAAAGGCTTATGGCCTGCATTGTCCAAAGTGTCAGCTAGAGAAATACTAAGCCTTTTTGAGCTGAGGCTAGAGTTGAAGCTGTCAGAAAGTGGGGAGCATTGTTCCAAGGCTGCCCAGGGCAGCAGGGCCCTGAGGCTGGCCCAGGGAACCATCTTTCCTTCTTAGGCCTCCAGACCTGTGGTAGAAGGAGCTTCTGTGAAGTTTCTAAAATGCCTTCAAAGCCCTTTTCTCCTTGCCTTGGATATTAGCACTTGGCTCTCTTTTAGATATGCAAAGATCTCTAGCAAGTGGTGGTTACACAGCCCACTTAAATTCCTCTTCTGAGAAAGCCTTTTCTTTCTCCGCCACATGGCAAGGCTGCAAGTTTTACAAACTTTTACACTCTACTTCCCTTTTAAATATATATTCCAAATTTAAGTCATTTCTTTGCTCCCACATCTAAGCATAGGTTGTTAGAAGCAGCCAGATTACTTTTTGAATGCTTTGTCGCTTAGAAGTTTCTTACACCGGACACTCTAAATCATCACTCTTTTATATATATAATTATACTTTAAGTTCTAGGTTACATGTGCACAACTTGCAGGTTTGTTACATATGTATACATGTGCCATGTTGGTGTGCTGAACCCATTAACTCATCATTTACATTAGGTATATCTCCTAATGCTATCCCTCCCCCATCCTCCCACCCCACAACAGTCCCCAGAGTGTGATGTTCCCCTTCCTGTGTCCAAGTGTTCTCATTGTTCAATTCCCACCTATGAGTGAGAACATGCGGTGTTTGGTTTTTTGTCTTTGCGATAGTTTGCTGAGAATGATGGTTTCCAGCTTCAACCATGTCCCTACAAAGGACATGAACTCATCATTTTTTACGGCTGCATAGTATTCCATGGTGTATATGTGCCACATTTTCTTAATCCAGTGTATCATTGTTGGACATTTGGGTTGGTTCCAAGTCTTTGCTATTGTGAGTAGTGCCACAATAAACATACGTGTGCATGTGTCTTTATAGCAGCATAAATCATCACTCTGAACTTCAAATTTCCACAGATCCCTAGGGCATGAATGCCATATAGCCAAGTTCTTTGCTAAGGTGTAACATATGTGACCTTTGCTCCCGTTCCCAATAAGTTCCTCATTTCCATATGAGACCTTGGCAGCCTAGTCTTCACTATGCATATCACTATCACGCATTTTGGTTACAACCATTTAACCAGTCTCTGGTTAGATCCAAACTTTTCCTCATCTTCCTATCTTCTTCTGAGCCCTCCAAACTCTTCCAACCTCTGTCCATTACCCAGAACCAAAGCTGCATCCATATTTTCAGGTGTCTTTGTAGCAATACCTAACTCCTTGGTTCCAATTTTCTGTTTTAGGTCATCCTTGAATTGCTATAAAGAAATACATGAGACTAGTTAATTTATAAGAACAGTGGCTTAATTGGCTCATGGCTCTGAATGCTATACAGGAAGCATAGCAGCATCTGCTTCTGGGGAGGTTTCAGGGAGCTTTTACTCATGACAGAAAATGAAGCAGGAGTAGGCATTTCACATGGTGAAAGTAGGAGCAAGAGAGAGTGGAAGTGAAATATCACACACTTTTAAATAACCAGATCCTGCAAGAATTCACTCACTATCATAAAGACAGCATCAAGTCATGAGGGATCTTCTCCCATGATCCAAACACCTCCTACCAGGCCCCAACTCCAGCACTGGGGAATAGAGTTCAACATGAGATTTGGGCAGGGACAAATATCTAAACCATATCAAGTAGATATGCTTATATCAGACAAAATGGATTTCAAGACAAAAACCATACAAGGACAAAGAAGGTCATTATATAATAATAAAGGGGTCAATTTAGCAACAGGATATAACAATTGAAAACACATGTGTACCCAACAATGGAGCACCCAGATACATAAAACAAATATTATTAGAGATAAAGCGATAGACCCCAGTACAACAATAAAGACTTCAACACCCCAGTTTTAGCATTAGACAGATTATCCAGACAGAAAATCAACAAAGAAATATTGATATTTATCTGAGTATAGACCAAGCGAACCTAATTGATATATACAGAATACTTCATCCAATGGCTGTAGAATACATACTTCTCTTCAGAACATGAATCATTCTCAAGGATAGACCATACATTTGGCCACAAAACATGTCTTTAAAAATTCAAAAAATAAAATAATATCAAGTATCTTTTTCTGACCACAGTGGAATAAGACTAGAAATAAATAACAAGAGGAATTTGAAAACTATGCAATTACCTGGAAATTAAATGATACGCTTCTGAATGACCAGTGGAGCAATGAAGAAATTAAGAGGGAAATTTAAAAAGTTATTGAAACAAAACATGGAAACACAACATACCACAACTTATGGGATACTACAAAAGCAGTACTTAGAGAAAAGTTTATAGCTATAAGTACCTACATAAAAAAGTATAGAAATTTCAAATAAACAACCTAACAATACGTTGTAAAGAACCCAATTCAACAATACATTAAAAAGCTAATTCATCATGACCAAGTGAGATTTATTCCTGGGATGAAAGGATAATTCAACATATACAAGTCAATCAGTGTGATATATCATATCAACAGAATGAAGGACAACAACCATATGATTATTTCAATTGATGCTGAAAAGCTGATAAAATTCTACACCCCTTTATGATTAAAATACTCAATAAACTGGGTACAAAAAGAACATACCTCAAGATAATAAAAACCGTATACAACAGACTCATAGCCAGTATCATACAGACTGGGAAAAACTGAAAGCCATTCCTCTAAGACCTAGAACATAACAACGATGCCCACTTTTATCACTGTTTCAGCACAATACTGGAAATCCTAGCTAGAGCAATCAGACAAGAGAAAGAAATAAAGGGCATCCAAATTAACAATGCAGAAATCAAATTATCCTTGTTTGCAGATGATATTTGTATTTGGAAAAACCTAAAGACTCCACCAAAAACTGTGAGAGCTCATAAACAAATTCAGTAAAGTTGCATGATAAAAAAATCAACATATAAAATTCCATAACATTTCTATATGCCAACAGCCAATAATCTGAAAAGAAATCAAGAAAGTAATTTCATTTACAATAGCTACAAATAAAATAAAATACCTAGAAATTAACCAAAGAAGTGAAAGATCTCTACAGTGAAAACTATAAAATACTGAAAAACAAATAGAAGGGGACACACAAAAAATGGGGAGATAGTCCCTTTTTATGGATTGGAAGAATCAAATTGTTAAAATATCCATAAGCCCAAAGCAATCTACAGATTCAATGCAATCTCTATCAAAATACCAATGACATTCTTCATGGAAATATAAAAAAAAAAAACTTAAAATTTATATGAAGCCACAAAAGACCCAGAAATGCCGAAGGCATCCTGCACAAAAAGAACAAAACTGGAAGAATCACATTACCTGACTTCGAATTGTACTAAATAGCTATTGAGACCAAAACAGCATGGTACTGGCATAAAAACAGATGCATAGATCAATGCAACAGTATAGTGAACACAGAAACAAATCCATGTACATATAATAAACTTGTTTTCAACAAAGGTGTCAAGAACATGTATAGAGAAAAGACAGTCTCTTCAATAAATGTTTCTGTGAAAACTGGATATCCATGTTCAAAAGAGTGAAACTAGACCCTTATCACTTGCCATACACAAAAATCAAGTCAAATGTATTAGAGACTTAATTCTAAGACCTCAAACTATGAAACTACTAAAAGAAAACTTTGGGGAAATTCTCTAAGACAGAGAATCTCCATCCTAGAATTCTCTAGGACTGGTCAATGATTTCTTGAGTAATACCCCACAAGCACAGACAACCAAAACAAAAAATGACAAATGGGATTACATCAAGTTAAAAAGCTTCTGCACAACAAAAATAACAATCAACAATGTGAGGATACAACTCACAGAATGGGAGAATACATTTGCAAACTACCCATCTGACAGAGGCTAATAACCAGAATATATAAGGAATTCAAACAACACTATAGGAAAAAAAATCTAATAATTTGATTAATTAGCAAAAAATCTGAATAAACATTTCTCAAAGGGAGACATAAAACTGTCATACAGGTATATGAAAAGGTGTTCAACATCATTGATCATCAGAGAAATGTAAATCAATAGTAGTATGAGAGGCCGTGGCTCACACCTATAATCCAGACACTTTGGGAGCCCGAGGCAGATGAATCACTTGAGGTCAGAGTTTGAGACCAACCTGGCCAACATGGCAAAACCTTGTCTCAACTAAAAATACAAAAATTAGCCAGGTATGGTGGCACACGCCTGTAATCCCAGCTACTCAGGAGGCTGAGGCAGGAGAATTGCTTGAACCTGGGAGGTGGAGTTTGCAGTGAGCCAAGACGGCACCATTGCACTTCAGACTAGGCAATACTCTGTCTCAAAAAAAAAAAAAAAAGTACAAGATACCATCTCATCCCAGTTAAAATGGCTTTTATTAATAAGACTAGCAATAACAATTAACAAATGCTGGAGAGGTTGTGGAGAAAAAGGAACCCTCCTATACTGTGGGTGGGAGAATCCCACCCACTGACTCGTTGTTGTACTAACTAGTGGGTTGTACTGACCCACTAGTACAACCACTAACTATGGAGAACATTTTAAAGCTTCCTTAGAGAGCTAAAAATAGAACAACTATATGATCCAGCAATCTTCTGCTATGTATATCACCAAAAGAAAGGAAATCAGTATATCAAAGAGATAACTGTATTCCCATGTTTATTGCAGCATCATTCACAGTAGACAAGATTTGGAAACAACCTAAGTGTCCATTGACAGATAAATGGATAAAGAATGTATGAATGGTACATATATACAATGGAGTACTATTCAGCCATAAAAAATGATATCCTGTCATTTGTGGCAAAATGGCTGGCACTGGAGGTCATTATGTTAAGTGAAATAAGCGAGGCACAGAAAGACAAACTTCACATGTTCTCACTTATTTGTGGGAGCTAAAAATTAAAACAATTGAACTCATCAAGACAGAAAGTAAAAGAATGGTTATCAGAGATTAGGAAGTGTAGTGGGGGTGGAATGGTGGGGTGCAGATGGTTAATGGGTACAAAAAAAATTAAAAAATTAGTAAGATCTAGCATTTGATAGCAAAACAGGGTGATTATAGTCAATAATTTGATTTTACATTTAAAGATAACTAAAAGGGTATAATTGGATTGTTTGCAATACAAATGATAATGATATAATTACACATTGCCTGCCTGTATCAAAGTATCTCATATATCCCATAAATATGTATACTATGTACACATAAAAGTTACAAATTATGTATTATTAAAACTCTTTGTAACAGCAGCCCACAATGTTTTTGGGAAATTACCCTCAATGTTGTGTATAGTTGAGCCTGGACAGTATTTCCTGGCACTATGGAATCTTTGGGGATCAGATATTTCCTTAGAATGTGATCTAAACTCCTTTTTTCAATCATTATTCAGAAATTTGAAACAGAATTAAGTGCTATGTGAAGGAAGGATAACTGGAAGTAACAATCATTGAATTTACCAATGTGGTGACTTACTGTACATGTTGTTCCTTTCTTTGATGGCCTTTTAGGAGAGTTTAGGTTCTGGTCATTCCCAAAGCTGTTCTCTATCCCCAAGGCCTTGTGCAAGGTCCCTCATGAGACCAGGTAGAATGCATAAGATAAATGCATTACGTAAAAATTGATAAGTCATATACAATGAAACACAAATATCATCTCATACATTAAAAAGTTAATGTCATTTGGTAAAAAAGCAAAATTCCAGGAGGTAATTAGATCAACATAAGTACTTAGATTATTTTGAATTCTGTGGTGAAATAATGCTGGCTAGTAAGAAAAGAAATAAGTGTACCTGACAGACATGTGGTAAATAAGATGGCTCAATTATGTTGAAATGGGATTCAAACTTGGCCAAATTGGAAAGATGCTCCAAGTGTGCCTTTGTATACCTGCCTCCCCACATCAATTATATTGTAATAAGAAACTCATATGCAAGTGAAGTAAACAGCATATTCGGATTGGGTTACCCATCTGTCACCTTTGAGGGAAGTCCAAGGAAGTGTGAAATGTTTCTGAAGAACACACAAGTAAGAAATGGCAGGAGAAAGAGCTGTGTGGGTTGTAAATAAAAGAAACGATGCTGAATTTCCAAATTGAGTTGTTTTTGCACTCTGATTCCTCTTGAGAACTTAGGATAGATAGTGTCAACTTTCTATGTTCCCTTCATGTTCTACCTGGTGGCCACTGCAGCACAGGAGAGAATGCCAGGACTGGGAGGAGATGGAGTCACTCATCTACTGCAGTGGCTTGTGTAAATTTCCTGTGGTTTCTAATAAATTTGTCAACCTGTTACCTTGATTGTTCTTACTGTTCCTTGCTGTCATCAGAAATGTTGACAGCTTCTGCCTAATAGTCTAAGGACTGAAAAAATAAAATTTATAAACATCTAATAAAAAAAGAATATTGACACCATTAGAAGGAATAAGGATGGATCATAAGTAATTTCAGCTTTTGCTTAATTTAGCCACAAATTGTGCTTTTTACATCTCAGATCAACAGTTTTATTTTTTAACTGTTTGGAGATAATAAATGTGGAATTTCCTGAGAGGAGACTGTAAATGTTGAGGCCCCCTTTTAGAAATTCCTTTATAGTGGCATCCAACAACGGTTTTTGAAAAAGCTACCCCAAACTGGAGATGTAAAATAGCAAATAATTTGTTCTCTCGTGAGCTACTAATTACGTTGAATATCTAAAGGAGTATTTGATAGTTAGATACATGCATTTGTTAATGTGGACCAGACTGGAAGGGCTAGAGAATGAAAGGGCATACCCTTACGAACTTGCAAATTGGTCCAAGTGACTTAATTATAAACAGATGAGAAAAAGTCCAGCCACTCAGGTCCTCCTTGATATGCAATTAAAATAAAATTGGTACTCAGTCTGTTTTTTTCTGTCATTAATCCAATAAATATTTACTACTTCATAAGAAACAATGAACAAAAGAGTGTGTCTTTATGCTGAACTTATAAATTGATGAAAGTACATTTTAAACCCCTAAAAAATGGATAAGGAGGCAACATTTGGGAAGAGATCTAACTGAAAAGTTTCAGCCAAACAGAGAAGTCATTATGTAAGCAGGCAGAGAAAACACTGCATAGGAAGGCCTTGAAAAGAAACTATATCTAGCATTTCAAATAACAGCAGGTAGTCAGGATGCTTAAATAGATATTAATATGAGAGATCTAGCCAGGGCACAGGTCTACATTCCAGGCTGCTTAGATTATGCTAAGGACTTTGACTCAAACCACTAGAACATGCTGTGGACTAAATTGTGTTCCCTCAAAATTTAATAGCCCCAATTCTCATTAAGACTGTATTTGGAGATAGGGCCTATAAGGAGGTAATTAGGATTAAACATGTTCATAAAATGAAGATCCTAATATGATGGGATTGGTAGCTTTATTAAAAAAATTAAGAGTTTCCCTTTCCCCCACCACACCCACACCCACACTCACACCCACACACAGTGTACACGTGCACGTGCACCCAAAAAAGGCCATGTGAGGACATGGCATGAAGGCAGCCATCTACAAGCCAGGAAGAGAGCCCTTATCTAGACCAGAATTAGCTGTAACTTTGATGTCCAGAACTGCATGAGGATACATTTCTGTTGTTTCTCACACAGTTGGCATTACTTTGTTATGGCAACATGAAAAGGCTAATAGAGAATACATCCCAAGAAATCTGAATATAACACACTCTCCATATACTTTCTAGACAAACAACAGGCAGCCTTCTAAATCGTACTGAACATCCCCCCAACCCCAGGATAGGTGATTGGAGGCAGTATTAGCATGTCTCTCCCACTTGGAAAGACAAAATAGTACACAGATACTCCCACTGTGAGATTTTGTTTCTAAGAAGAAATGCAAGAACTTAATAGGAAAACAGAAATCCATAGACCCTCTGAAAGAAGCAGCAGGCTGCCACCTACACCATGAGCAAGCAAAAAAACTAAGTCCTCAGAGTATGAGAGGGGGATAGACTGCCCAGACCTAGGGAAGGCATTCTTTATTCTGCCTCACAGGGGACCTCACAGAGGTCTCTCAACTAACTCAGGCACCAGTAGCACGTTGAAAGAATCTCCCAAATGAATTTTGCGATATAAACTCAAATGGGGAAGAACTCCCTTGCTCAGAACCCATGAGTGAGTGGGAAGTGTGCTGCAACCAAGACCACAGGAGCTCTGCACCCTGGATGTGCAGGCAGACTGGGAAGGGCATAGCATGAAAGCCATGGTTGTCCATCAACAAGTGGGCAAAGGATATGAATAGACACTTCTCAAAAGAAGACATTTATGCAGTCAAAAGACACATGAAAGGATTATAAATTATGCTACTATAAAGACACATGCACACGTATGTTTACTGCGGCACTATTCACAATAGCAAAGACTTGGAACCAACCCAAATATCCAACAATGATAGACCAGATTAAGAAAATGTGGCACATAATACACCATGGAATACTATGCAGCCATAAAAAATGACGAGTTCATGTCCTTTGTAGGGACATGGATGAAGCTGGAAACCATCATTCTCAGCAAACTATCGCAAAGACAAAAAACCAAACACTGCATGTTCTCACTCATAGGTGGGAACTGAACAATGAGAACACATGGACACAGGAAGGGGAACATCACACACTGGAGCCTGTTGTGGGGTAGGGGGAGTCGGGAGGGATAGCATTAGAAGATATACCTAATGTTAAATGACGAGTTAATGGGTGCAGCACACCAACATGGCACGTGTATACATATGTAACACACCTACATGTTGTGCACATGTACCTTAAAACTTGAAGTACAATTAAAAAAAAAAAAAAAGAAAAGAAAAGAAAGCCATGGTTGCTATCTCTGCAGGGAGAGTTTATGGCCTGGGGCAGTTGTGAGTTCTGAGCATAGATCGCCTGGAACTTAGTTCTCTACTGCTAGAGAAAAATTGCATCTGGGAGATCTGCCTTGCCAAGTCCCTAGATGGGTTTACTGCCACTTGCTACTTCCCACTCCCTACACAAACTCTTCTGCAGCAGAGGCAGCTACGCTCTTCTCTGGAATATTACCCCAGTGGCCAGAGAACTGCCCTCCTGACTCCCACAGGGGCCACTGCTTACCTTGCATGCTGAGAGCCTGAGTGTAAACCTGCCTGACCCAGCCCCCACCTGGTTTTGCCCTTGCACCCACCCTGGTAGCTTAACACAAAGGACAAACCTTTCGGGAGCTTTATGACTCTGCCTATCATCTGAGAAACCAGTGTACCTCCCCTGGGTTACATAAGGCAATCACAAATCTGACCAATACTACTAGGTGCTCTTTTAAAAGTGTCAGCTCTTGGCTGGAAACCAACTGACACAGTCCACTACAGCATTTCCAGGTAGAAAAACACTATACCCAGGAAGGAGAGAACCTGTGTGCAACCTAAATTACCACCATTGCCTTCACAATCCTGGCTAATCAGGAGGTCCTAAGTCTGTCTACCTCATAGTTCATCACTACAATAACTGGCATTTGAGAAAGTCAGCAAACTAAGCCTATCTATAACCAAGGAATCTCACAGAGTCTATGTCACTCCCCTGTCATCCCTATCAGAGCGGGTGCTAGTACCTACTGCTGGGAGACTTAACAACAGGCCACATCTCAGGATCCCTTGCAGACATTCACCAGCACCAGCCTGGAGTGTGGTGGCCTTAGTGGGTGGCTACACCCCAAAGAGCAACAGCATTCACAATAGTCTGGCTCTCTGGAACTTCTATTTCCTAGAGGAAGGAGAGGGCCCCAAATCAAGGGGACATCCTATGGGACAAAACCCAGATGGCAGACCTTGAGTCCCAGACCTTTCTGCTGGTGGCAAGTTTCTTCCAGTGGAGCCACAGTTGCAGTGCTAGGCTCAGCTGAGAAAGTCTTCAGTTCTACCACAATGCTCGGGAAGCTCTGTTACTCATGAAATGTCTTAGAGAATGGGACAAGTTTCCCATTTGTCCACCACTGCAGACACAGTTGGGGTTTTCCCATAGGAGCTCAGTGTGGGTGCACCTAGAGACAGATGTTCTGCGACACCTCAGGGGGGATGCATCCCCACAGGAGAAATGCCTCCAAGTGCAGGTTTACATGAGAGGTAGAACCACAGTTTCTTTCTAGTTGAAACACCAACATTCCCACAGATGTAAAAAAGGTACCTGTCTGATCTGAATAGCTGGAACACCAGGTCAGGAGTGTGTCTTGGTGAGGGAAAGACTTCCTGCTGTCCTGGCAGAGAAGCTGAGGTAAATCTGGTCCTTCCCACTGATAAGACCTCAGTGTGTTTCACTGAGAGCTCTCCCAGCCACCTCCGTCCTCTGCCCAGACATTGGATACTGCATTTACCCACCTGCTTTAACAACATCTGGTTTCTACCTGTAGACACATCCCTTATTGGGCTGAAGCCTGAACTATTCAACCCAGTAAATAAAATCCTGGGGAAAAATTAATAAATAAAAAAGTAAACATCATGGGGGAATGAAATAAGCTTTGAGAGGCATTTCCTACAGGAAACAGTGAACTTGCTCACACAGTGAGCACATTGCTACTATAATCAGCACCCGAGAAGGCCATCATACAAAGACCTATAACCAAGGAATCCATACTGAGTCTTCACCCTAGAAAGCACCAGTACCTAAGTTAGGTTTCAATAAACTATAAATGTTAAAGTCACATCCATAAAAAGGAAAAAAATAAAAGAAGTCAAAAGTAAATTCAAGAATAATGTGAAGAAATAGTCTACCCAAATGAGAAGAAACCAGAAAAATAATTCTGATAATAGGACAAAACAGAATTCTATAATACCCCCAAAAGATCACACTAGCCCTCCAGCAAATAAAGCAAACCAATATGAAATCTTTGAAATACCAGATAAAAATTTCAAAAGGTTGATTATTAAGCTACTCAAGGAAATACCAGAGAAAGGTAAAAACCAACAGAAAGAAATTAAAAAAAATTCAGAATATGAATAACAAATTTTCTAGAAAGATAGATATCTTAAAAAAATCAGAACTTCTGGAAATGAAATACACACTTAGTAAATTACACAATGCAAAGGAAAGTAGAAGAAAGAATTTCAGAACTCTAAGACAAGTTTTCAAATTCACCTAATAAGACAAAAATATTTCCGAATTCATCTAATAAGACAAAAATAAAGAAAAAAGAATCAAGAGAAATGAAGGACATCTCTAAGAATTATGAGATTATGTAAAATGGCAAAACCTAAGAATAATTGGTATTCCTGAGGGAAAAGAGAAAGCAAAAAGTTTGGAAATCTTTTTTCAGGGAATAATTGAGGAAGACTCCCTGGCCTTGCTAGAGATTTAGATATTAAAATACAAGAAGCTTAAAGAACACCTGGGAGATACATTGCAAAAAGGTCATCATCAAGACATACAGTCATCAGGCTATATAAAGTCAACATGAAACAAAGAGTTCTAAAAAAAAAGTGAGAAAAACACATGAGGTAACCTATAAAGAAAAATCTACCAGACTAACAGCAGATTTACAACAGAAATCTTATAAGCCAGAAGGGACTGGGGTTCTATCTTTGTCCTGTTGAAACAAAATAACTGTAAACCAAGAGTGTTGTATCAGGCAAAGCCAAGTTTCATAAATGAAGGACAAATAGGTCATTTTCAAACAAACAACTACTGAGGGAATTTGTTGTTATCAGAGCAGCCCGATAAAAAAAATGCTAAAATAAGTTATAAATCTTGAAACAAAAGCTCAATATACACAAAAATAGAACCTCTTGAATGCACAGAACTCACAGAGCCTATAAAACAATAACACAATAACAGTAACTAAAAAAGTATCTGGAAAACAATTGACATGATGAATACAACAGTACCTCACACCTCAGTATTAACATTAAATGTAAATGGCCTAAATGCCACACTTAAAAGATACAGACTAACAGAATGGATAAAGAATCACAAACCAAATATCTGTTGTCTTCAAGAGACTTACCTAACATGTAAGGATTCCTATAAACTCAAGATAAAGGGGTAGAAAAAGGCATTCTATGTAACTGGAAACCAAAAACAAGACAAACTGAAAAAACAAAAACAAATCAACACCAAAAACAAGCAAGAGTAGTTATTCTTATATCAGACAAAGCAGACTTTAAAGTAACAACGGTAAAAAAAAAAAAAGGCAACTGTCATTATATAATGATAAAAGGATCAGTCCACCAAAAAGATATAATCCTAAACATATATGCACCTAAATCTGGAGGTCCCAGATTCATAAACCAATTACGACTAGACCTAAGTAATGAGATAGACAGGAACATAATAATAGTTCAATACTCCAGTGACTGCACTAGACAGATTATTGAGACAGAAAGTCAACAAAAAGACAATGGGCTTAAACTACACTCAGGAACAAAGTGACCTAACAGATATTTACAGAACCTTGTACCCAAGACCTCCATAATATACATTCTTCTCATCACCACATGTAACATTCTCCATGATAGAACATATGACAGGCCACAAAACAAGTCTCAATAAACTTAAGAAAATTGAAATCATACCACGTTATCTTCTCAGACCACACTGGAATAAAACTAGTTATCGACCCAAAAGGAACCCCTAAAACTATACAAATACATGGAAATTAAACAATCTGCTCCTGAATGATTTTTGGGTTAACAATGAAATCAAGATGGAAATTAAAAAAAAATTCAAAATGAATGATAATAGTGACACAAGTTATCAAAATCTCTGGCATACAGCAAAAGCAGTGTTAAGAGGAAAGTTTATAGTGCTAAATGCCTATATCATAAAGCCTTAAAGATTATGAATCGACAACATAATGTCACACCTCAAGGAAGCAGAGAAACAAAGCAATCTGAACTCAAAGCTAGTAGAAGAAAAAAAACAGTAACAAATATCAGAGCAGACCTAAATGAAACTGAAACAAAAAACACAATAAAAAGATCACTGAAACAAAAAGGTGGTTCTTTGAAAAGATAAACAAAATTGACAGACCATTAGCTTGGTTAACCAAGAAGAGAGAAGATTCAAATAAGTGCACTTAGAAATGAAACTGGAGACGTTACAACTAACACCACGGAAATACGATCATTTATTACTACTATGAACACCTCTATGCACACAAACTAGAAAAACTGTAGGAAATGTAGGAAATTCCTGGAAACATATAATCCTCCCAGATTAAATCAGGAAAAAGAGAAACTCTCAATGGATCAATAAACATAAAGATTGAATCAGAAAAAAAAAAAAAAAAAAAACCTACCGCCACCACCAAAAAACCCCAAGACCAGATGGATTCGGAGCTCAATTCTACCAGATGTCCAATTGGTACCAATTCTACTGAAACTATTCCAAAAGATTAAGAGGGAATCCTTTCTAAATCATCCTTGTAAGCTAATTTCACCCTGATACTAAAACCATGAATTAACATAACAACAAAAAAAGAAAACCACAGACCAATATCCCTGATGAACATAGATTAAAACAAACAAACAAACAAAAAAAGAAACCTCAATAAAATACCAGCTAATGAAATCCAACAGCACATCAAAAAGATAATACACCATGATCAAGTGGGTTTGATCCCAGAGATGCAGGGATGGTTTAACATATGCAAGTCAATAAATGTGATATATCACAAAAGCAAAATTGAAAACAAACCATATGATCATCTCAATAGGTGCAGAAAAGCATTTGATAAAATACAGCATCTCTTTGTGATAAAAAGCCCTCAGCAAACTAAGCATAGAAGGGACTTACCTTGAATTAATTAATAAAAGCCCTATATAACAGACTCACAGCAAACATCATACTGAATAGAGAAAAGTGGAAAGCAATGCCCCTGAAAACTGGACAAGACAAGGATACCCAAGTTCACCACTTCTATTCAACATAGTATCTGACATCCTAGCCAGAGCTATCAGGCAAGAGAAAGAAATAAAGGACATTTACAGTGGAGAAAAGGTAGTCAGACTATCACTATTCACTGATGATATGATTATATACCTAGAAAACCCTAAAGGTTGCTCAAAAAGCCTCCTAGATTTGATAAACACATTGGATAATATCTCAGGTTACAAAATCCATGTACACAAATCAGTAGCACTGATATACACCAACAACGACTAAGGTGAGAACCAAATCAAGAACTCAATCCCTTTTACAACAGCTGCAAAAAAATAAAATACCTAGGAATTAACTTAACCAAGGAGGTGAAAGACCTTTACAAGGAGAACTACAAAACACTGCTGAAAGAAATCACAGATGACACAAACAAATGAAAACATATCCCATGCTCATGGGTTAGAAGAATCAATACTGTGAAAATGACCATACTGCCCAAAGCAATCTACAGATTCAATGCAATTCCCATAAAAATATCAGCATCATTTTTCACAGAATTAGAAAAAAAAATCCTAAAATTCATATGCAACTGAAAAACAGCCCAAGAGCCAAAGCAATTCCAAGTAAAAAGAACAAATCTAGAGGCATCACATTACCAGACTTCAAGTTACGCTACAAGGCTATAGTTACCCAAACAGCATGGTACCAGCATAAAAGTAGGCACATAGACCAATGGAATAGCATAGCAAACCAAGAAATAAATCCAAATACTTACAGCCAACTGATCTTTAGCATAGGATACAAAACATAAATTGGGGAAAGGACACTCTATTTAATAAATGTTACTGGGAATGCTGGCTAGCCAACATGCAGAAGAACGCAACTGGATCCCGATCTCTCACCCTACAGAAAAATAAACTCAAGATGGATCAGAGTTAAATCTAAGACTTGAAACCATAACAATTCTAGAAAATAACCTTTGAAAAATTCTTTTAGATGATGGCCTAGGCAAAAAAAAAATATGACTAAAACCCCAAAATCTAATGCAGCAAAAACAAAAATAAATATTCAAGACCTGATTAAACTAAAAAGCTTCTGCATGCAAAAGAAATAATCTTCAAGAGTGGACAGACAACCCACAGAATGGGAGAAAATATTTGCAAACTGTGAATTCAATAAAGGACTAGTATCTGGAATCTACAAGGATCTCAAACATATCAGCAAGAAAAAACAAATAATCTCATCAAAAATTGGGCAAATGATATGAATATACTTTTCTCAGAAGAAGATACACAAATGGCCAACAAACATAAAAAATGCTCAACATCAATAATCAACAGTGAAATGCAAATTTAAAACACAATGAGATAACATCTTACTCCTGCAAAAATGGCCATTATTTTAAAAAGTCAAAAACAACAGATGTTGGCCTCGATGTGGTGAAAGAGGAATGCTTATATGCTGCTGGTGGAAATGTAAATTAGCATAATCTCTACTGAAAACAGTATTTAGATTCCTTAAGGGACTAAAAGTAGATCTACCATTTGATAAAGCAATCCCACTACTGGGTATCTATCTACCCAATGGAAATAAGTCATTACATGAAAAAGATTCATGCACACATGTTAATTTCAGCACAGTTCACAATTTCAGAGATTCATTCATGTAACCAAAAGTCACTTGTACTCCAATATCTATTGAAATAACATCAATAAATACTGAAATGTCAAAGTGAAATCTCCTAACTACATCTCACTATAGCCACAGATTTCCAACATTACTTCATTTTTGTTATACTTTGGATGACTTTTTACCCAGACTCCTTTGTCCCATTTTTTAAAAGGACAGACACGGTACATTGAGCTTAATTTTAATGTTCTCTCTAAAATGCTAATAATTATGGCTCAATTATTACAGTGGTTTTCTTGTTGGAGTTTTCTCCCTTTAGCTGCTCTAAATTGTGAGTGGTATAGAGTCACAGAGCTTACTTGATTATTCACCCAGTCCACTGCTGATGCTACGTGTTTCTTCAGGACCTGTCCTTTAGAATACTTCCCAGAGGCAAGCACATGGTTGCCTATATTAAAGCCACCTGTATATCACTTGCTAAGTCCTCTTTGTCAACACTTGCCCTCATTGTGACTACAGAATCACTTTTTCTAGTTTTTAAAATTGTTATCGTAAGACTGTGCTTGGAAATATTCCCAGGGATTAGTATGATGATTTTGTTGGGGTGTTTGGAGATACATTTGCCAATGCTGTACATGTAAAATTTCCATGACAACTTATAAAATAAATACTTTGATCTCTTTATCAGCCATCAATGTTAACATATAAAATCAGCTGAATTAAAGTTAAGACTATGTAAACAGATGACTAGAACCTCTTCTTAAGTAAAAATATGTGTGGTTCCCTTAATTACTTGTCATTGGAAATTTGTAATTCCTTTCAATTTTCTGAACATATGCACAATTTTACTATTCTAAAAAAATAACTATTCATAACTACTCACTTATTTTCTCCTTTCACGCACTTCTAATTTTTGGAAGAAGTGATGGGCATTTGTTCCCTATAACTCTTGCCATCTATATCCACCTGGATCCGTAGCAATTTGGGTCTTATCTGAACTACTACGATGAACTGCACTCAAAATTACATTTGATGTGATACACACAGTAACTCAATTCTTTCTTTGCTTTCATCTTTTGCAATCATCTACCTCCCTATGCAGTCTGGACAAATACTGTCAAATTCCTAACAGCATCATCATTAGCACTGTTGAAATCCTTCCATCATTTAGTAGATGCTAAGCCTGTGTTGTCCTTCATTGCCCTGAGATGCTATGCAGTTTATCTGCTTGCACACTTCAGATGCAAAACATAGATGGGAAAAGTAAGGAAGCATACTGATTTGCATTCCTACATATTTGTATGCTTTACTGTTTCTCCTGATGCTTCTGCTTCCAATTGCCATCTTCACCTTCGTCATCTCTAGCTTCCTACTTTACTCTCCTCAGTCACTGTTCATTCTTAGCCTCTGATTTCTATCACTTCTTTTGCTGTCCAATTTGTGCTTCCTCTATTTCTTTCCTCAAATACCTCTCCAGCATCATTATGTCACAAAATTATTTGCCCTGAGAATCTCTTGCTCTTCCCCTGCTTTGTGCTGCAGGGAGACTGATTCTTATCTCACTGTGTCAGCTGCATTCCAGCCAGAGTCCACCTATGAGTGGCTCTGGTAAGAGATTGGAAGGCCGAAGATTCTGGTAGTTTTCTTGTCAGTGGCTGTCTCTTCTCCTACCTACTGCTCCTACAAGAAAGGCCTGCAAAGGTTTACACTCCTGCTATGTGACATCTGAGCTTCTGGTAAATCTCATTCTCCCCTTGTCCCTCTGTCTGGGAGTGGAATGTTTCCTGACATCGCTAGTCTGTGTGTGGCTTCACTGTTGATTTGACTGCTTTCACTTTTCTGTCATCAGTATAACCAAAACCCTGCAGAAAACTGCCTCTGTTGTAAATACTTAAGGTGGTTTTTGTTCCTGGTTGGATCCTAAAGAACACAAAATCATTCTCCTTATGATTTCATTGGGTATCCTCCTTTTCCTCAGTACTTCCACTGGATCTCCCTCTTTTATTACTTAACCTGGCCCTTCCACTGGCAAAGCAAGTCTTCTTCTTGCTCTTGCACACTCAATTGCCCTAGTTGACTAAACTGTTAGGATAATTTTATAAAAAGATGAAAAGGAAAGAAAATAAAATATTTCAACAAAACCAAACCAAATTTCTCTGAATCCTTTTAGGTGTGTTTCATGACTCCACCACACTCGCCCTTCCTCTCTTTCTTTCTCTATCTTCTCCCTCTTCCTTCCTTGTCGTTTTTCCTGCCATGTCACTCAGCATGTGAGTTTTGGGCCAGCACATGCATCTTTGGCCTTCAGAATCCAGAGTCTGCAGTTATTACTTGATTTTCTTCAGTACATAATTTTATTTGGCAATTATATTTGTAACCTTAATTTTAAAATATCAGAATATTATTTCATCACGACTATATAATCTAGTTTTATATTTGCTTTGTTGTATGTATGTGTATGCCAATCAGAAATAGCTTAATTGCTTTCTTCATTCTTACAGAGAAACAATTTTAGATAAGAGAATTTTCTGATTCTTCAGGGGAGAACCTTTCTTTTGACTTAAGCTGATTTTAGATAATGCCAGAGACTTTTATTTTTTCCCGTGTTAGCTCATTCAATATTTGGGCGTATTTACTGGAGCCATCACAGCCCCAACTTTTCTGGCTGTTGTGAAGATATTTTTCACTTCTTTCTCTGGTAAAACCTGTTTCATAAAGACCTGGGCTTTAATGCTCTGACGTAAAGCCTTGTTGCCAGGGACTCTGTATCCACATCTCCCTCCCACATTTCTCTGTTCTATCAGCTTCTCCTTTGACTTGATTTCACCCTCCAATTAGGGATATTTGTGTATCTTCGTTGTCCTTCTTGACTATTGTAATAGATTTGCAATTCTTGACCAAAGGTCATCCCATTATTCCCTTATTTAAATTTCATTCCTGTTTCGTATCACTGAGGCGCTTAAAATTCCTATACTGGCATGAGGGTAGCAGCATTTCCTGTGCTAAGTAGCAAAACAGATCCCGAGGAGGAGATCTAACTGCTTAAGCCTACATCATCATCATGTTGGGAAATCTTGACATAAAAGCCATTTTTAAACCCCATAAAGCTTTCAATAAGTAGAAAGTGGTAATAAATGTATTTTAGAAAGAGTATCCTAACATACACAAAACATTACATTTTATTTTATAGGATAGAAACACTTTAAGTTATAAACTTCTTTACATTTATTTACTCACACTAAGGAGTTTCCTCTTTGCATCAGTCTATTAAAAATGATATCCAGGTGCTTCCAGTGGGGACAAGATGGCATGGACCTGTTTTTCTTTCCCTTTTCTGCTAAGCACATCTATGAACCCTGAAAATGGCTCAAGAGACAACCAAAGGAGAACTAAAAGAAGAAAAGTGTGATATTGTTTGGAACCCCAGGACCAACAGAACAGTACAGTGGTAGGGCATCTTGCATGTCTCTTACTCAACAGAGGAAGGCCACCCAGTCCCAGCTTGTCCTGATCCTCATCTTAGCAACAAAAGACAGTGCATTCCTCCCCTAGATCAAACATTCTTCTGATAATATCAAGTGAGATGATCTACAACACCACTGGTGAGGAATCATTTGTGAGCTCTTCCAGAAGCTACCAGTGGAGGCCCTCTCTCCTCTTGCCTGGCCTGAGAGTCCCCTTTTACTAAGAGATACTGGAGTGAAAAGGGCTCCAGTCAATAGAAAAGAATCAGAGAAGCAGGTGGCCTGGATTGGAAAGCCACTCTGTCCCAATGAGTTAGGGACTCTCTTCCACTTCCCAGAGACACCAGAATAGTAGGAGATAAGTGAAAAAGTAGGAGTATCCTGCCATGCCTGTCCTGTTCCTTCATGGAGAGACATCCTGCTACCTGGTCTGGGGAAATTCTGATCATTCAGGCAGTGCCAAGAGGGACTGCTAGGACCCCTAGTGGCACCAGATTAACCAAGCATACCAAAATAACAACATAAAGGTTCTGAAAATAAAACTACCACTGGAATCGTAGCCCATGAAAGTGGGCCAATACTCATAAACAGGCAAATGCCTTTGTGGGGGTATACACACACACACACACACACACACACACACACACACACACACACACATCAGATCCAGAATCTAACATAATACACAAAATGTCCAAGAAAAATTAAAAAATCACCTATTATACCAAGAACTGAGAAAATTATAACTTAAATGAGAAAATCAACTGATATGAA